>NC_000010.11:41117818-41307629 GCF_000001405.40 Homo sapiens | reverse complement strand
TCCACAGAAAGAATTTTTCAAAACTGCTCTGTCTAAAGGAAGGTTCACCTCTGTGACTTGAATACACACAACACAAAGAACTGACTGAGAATTCTTCTGTGTAGCATTATGTGAAGAAATCCCATTTCCAACGAAGGCCTCAAAGAAGTCCAAATAAGCAACTGCAGACTTTACAAACAGAGTGTTTCCAAACTGCTCTATGAAAAGGAAGGTTAAACTCTGTGAGTTGAACGCACACATCACAAAGTAGTTGTTGAGAATGATTCTGTGTAGTTTTTATAATACGAAGATATTTCCTTTTCTGCCATAGGCCTAGAAGCGCTTGAAATCTGCACTTGCAAATTCCAAAAGCAGAGTGTTTCAAATCTGCTCTCTCTAAAGGAAGGTTCAAATCTGTGAGTTGAATACAAACAACACAAAGAAGTTACTGAGAATTATTCTGTCTAGCGTTGTATGAAGAAATCCCGTTTCCAATGAAGGCCTCAAAGTGGTCCAAATATCCACTTGCAGACTTTACAAATAGAGTGTTTCCAAACTGCTCTATGAAAAGAAAGGTTAAACTCTGTGAGTTGAAGGCACACATCACAAACTAGTTTCTACGAATGACTCTGTGTACTTTTAATACGAAGATGTTTCCATGTCTAAGATTGGCGTGAATTCGCTTGAAATCTCCACTTGCAAATTCCACAAAAAGAGTGTTTCAAAACTGCTCTGAATAAAGGAAGGTTCCACTCTGAGAGTTGAATACACACAACACAAAGGATTTACTGAGAATTCTTCTGTCTAGCAGTAAATGAGAAATCCCGCTTCCAACGAAGGCCTCAAAGGGGTCTAACTAATCACTTGCAGACTTTACAGACAGAGTCTTTCCAAACTGCTCTATGAAGAGAAAGGTGAAACTCTGTGAACTGAACGCACAGATGACAAAGCAGTTTCTGAGAATGATTCCGTGTAGTTTTTACACGAAGATATTTCCATTTCAAAGATTAGCCTCAAATCGCTTGAAATCTCCACTTGCAAATTCCACAGAAAGAGTTTTTCAAAACTGCTCTGTGTAAAGGAAGGTTCAACTCTGTGACTTGAATACACACAACACAAAGAAGTGACTGAGAATTCTTCTGTCTAGCATTATATGAGGAAATCCCGTTTCCAACGAAGGGCTCAAAGAGGGCCAAATATCCACCTGCAGACTTACAAAGAGTGTATTTCCAAACTGCTCGATTAAAGAAAGGTTAAACTCTGTGAGTTGAACACACACATCACAAAGAGTTTTCTGAGAATGATTCTGTGTAGTTTTTATACGAAGATATTTCCTTTTCTGCCATAGGCCTAGAAGCGCTTGTAATCTGCACTTGCAAATTCCAAAACCAGAGTGTTTCAAATCTGCTCTCTCTAAAGGAAGGTTCAAATCTGTGAGTTGAATACAAACAACACAAAGAAGTTACTGAGAATTCTTCTGTCTAGCGTTATATGAAGAAATCCCGTTTCCAACGAAGGCCTCAAAGAGGTCCAAATATCCACTTGCAGACTTTACAAATAGAGTGTTTCCAAACTGCTCTATGAAAAGAAAGGTTAAACTCTGTGAGTTGAAGGCACACATCACAAACTAGTTTCTGCGAATGACTCTGTGTACTTTTAATATGAAGATATTTCCATGTCTAAGATTGGCGTCAAATCGCTTGAAATCTCCACTTGCAAATTCCACAAAAAGTGTTTTTCAAAACTGCTCTGAATAAAGGAAGGTTCCACTCTGTGAGTTGAATACACACAACACAAAGGATTTACTGAGAATTCTTCTGTCTAGCAGTAAATGAAAAAATCCCGCTTCCAACGAAGTCCTCAAAGGGGTCCAAGTAATCACTTGCAGACTTTACAGACAGAGTCTTTCCAAACTGCTCTATGAAAAGAAAGGTGGAACTCTGTGAGCTGAACGCACACATAACAAAGCAGTTTCTGAGAATGATTCTGTGTAGTTTTTACACGAAGATATTTCCATTTCAAAGATTAGCCTCAAATCTCTTAAAATCTCCAATTGCAAATTCCACAGAAAGAATTTTTCAAAACTGCTCTGTCTAAAAGAAGGTTCAACTCTGTGACTTGAATACACACAACACAAAGAAGTGACTGAGAATTCTTCTGTCTAGCATTATATGAAGAAATCCCGTTTCCAACGAAGGCCTCAATGAAGTCCAAAAAAGCACTTGCAGGCTTTACAAACAGAGTGTTTCCAAACTGCTCTATGAAAAGAAAGGTTAAACTCTGTGAGTTGAACGCACACATCACAAAGTAGTTGTTGAGAATGATTCTGTGTAGTTTTTATACGAAGATACTTCCTTTTCTGCCATAGGCCTAGAATCGCTTGAAATCTGCACTTGCAAATTCCAAAAACAGAGTGTTTCAACTCTGCTCTCTCTAAAGAAAGGTTCAACTCTGTGAGTTGAATACACACAACACAAAGAAGTAACTGAGAATTCTTCTGTCTAGCGTTATATGAAGAAATCCCGTTTCCAACGAAGGCCTCAAAGACGTCCAAATATCCACTTGCAGAATTTACAAATAGAGTGTTTCCAAACTGCTCTATGAAAAGAAAGGTTAAACTCCGTGAGTTGAAGGCACACATCACAAACTAGTTTCTGCGAATGACTCTGTGTACTTTTAATACGAAGATGTTTCCATGTCTAAGATTGGCGTGAATTCGCTTGAAATCTCCACTTGCAAATTCCACAAAAAGAGTGTTTCAACACTGCTCTGAATAAAGGAAGGTTCCACTCTGTGAGTTGAATACACACAACACAAAGGATTTACTGAGAATTCTTCTGTCTAGCAGTAAATGAGAAATCCCGCTTCCAACGAAGGCCTCAAAGGGGTCTAACTAATCACTTGCAGACTTTACAGACAGAGTCTTTCCAAACTGCTCTATGAAGAGAAAGGTGAAACTCTGTGAACTGAACGCACAGATGACAAAGCAGTTTCTGAGAATGATTCTGTGTAGTTTTTACACGAAGATATTTCCATTTCAAAGATTAGCCTCAAATCGCTTGAAATCTCCACTTGCAAACTCCACAGAAAGAATTTTTCAAAACTGCTCTGTCTAAAGGAAGGTTCAACCCTGTGACTTGAATACACACAACACAAAGAAGTGACTGAGAATTCCTCTGTCTAGCATTATATGAGGAAATCCCGTTTCCAACGAAGGGCTCAAAGAGGGCCAAATATCCACCTGCAGACTTACAAAGAGTGTATTTCCAAACTGCTCGATTAAAGAAAGGTTAAACTCTGTGAGTTGAACACACACATCACAAAGAGTTTTCTGAGAATGATTTTGTCTACTTTTAATACGAAGATATATCCTTTTCTATCACTGTCTTCGAAGCGTTTGAAATCTACACTAGCAAATTCCACAAAAAGAGTGTTTCACCTCTGCTCCCTCTAAAGAAAGGTTCAACTCTGTGAGTTGAATACACACAACACAAAGAAGTTACTGAGAATTCTTCTGTCTAACGTTATATGAAGAAATCCCGTTTCCAACGAAGGCCTCAAAGAGGTCCAAATATCCACTTGCAGACTTTACAAATAGAGTTTTTCCCAACTGCTCTATGAAAAGAAAGGTTAAACTCTGTGAGTTGAAGGCACACATCACAAACTAGTTTCTACGAATGACTCTGTGTACTTTTAATATGAAGATATTTCCATGTCTAAGATTGGCGTCAAATCGCTTGAAATCTCCACTTGCAAATTCCACAAAAAGTGTTTTTCAAAACTGCTCTGAATAAAGGAAGGTTCCACTCTGTGAGTTGAATACACACAACACAAAGGATTTACTGAGAATTCTTCTGTCTAGCAGTAAATGGGAAATCCCGCTTCCAACGAAGGCCTCAAAGGGGTCTAACTAATCACTTGCGGACTTAACAGACAGAGTCTTTCCAAACTGCTCTCTGAAGAGAAAGGTTAAACTCTGTGAACTGAACGCACATATAACAAAGCAGTTTCTGAGAATGATTCTGTGTAGTTTTTACACGAAGATATTTCCATTTCAAAGATTAGCCTCAAATCGCTTGAAATCTCCACTTGCAAATTCCACAGAAAGAGTTTTTCAAAACTGCTCTGTGTAAAGGAAGGTTCAACTCTGTGACTTGAATACACACAACACAAAGAAGTGACTGAGAATTCTTCTGTCTAGCATTATATGAAGAAATCCCGTTTCCAACGAAGGCCTCAATGAAGTCCAAAAAAGCACTTGCAGGCTTTACAAACAGAGTGTTTCCAAACTGCTCTATGAAAAGAAAGGTTAAACTCTGTGAGTTGAACGCACACATCACAAAGTAGTTGTTGAGAATGATTCTGTGTAGTTTTTATACGAAGATATTTCCTTTTCTGCCATAGGCCTAGAATCGCTTGAAATCTGCAGTTGCAAATTCCAAAAACAGAGTGTTTCAACTCTGCTCTCTCTAAAGAAAGGTTCAACTCTGTGAGTTGAATACACACAACACAAAGAAGTTACTGAGAATTCTTCTGTCTAGCGTTATATGAAGAAATCCCGTTTCCAACGAAGGCCTCAAAGAGGTCCAAATATCCACTTGCAGACTTTACAAATAGAGTGTTTCCCAACTGCTCTATGAAAAGAAAGGTTAAACTCTGTGAGTTGAAGGCACACATCACAAACTAGTTTCTACGAATGACTCTGTGTACTTTTAATACGAAGATGTTTCCATGTCTAAGATTGGCGTGAATTCGCTTGAAATCTCCACTTGCAAATTCCACAAAAAGAGTGTTTCAAAACTGCTCTGAATAAAGGAAGGTTCCACTCTGTGAGTTGAATACACACAACACAAAGGATTTACTGAGAATTCTTCTGTCTAGCAGTAAATGAAAAAATCCCGCTTCCAACGAAGTCCTCAAAGGGGTCCAAGTAATCACTTGCAGACTTTACAGACAGAGTCTTTCCAAACTGCTCTATGAAAAGAAAGGTGGAACTCTGTGAGCTGAACGCACACATAACAAAGCAGTTTCTGAGAATGATTCTGTGTAGTTTTTACACGAAGATATTTCCATTTCAAAGATTAGCCTCAAATCGCTTGAAATCTCCACTTGCAAATTACACAGAAAGAATTTTTCAAAACTGCTCTGTCTAAAGGAAGGTTCAACTCTGTGACTTGAATACACACAACACAAACAAGTGACTGAGAATTCTTCTGTCTAGCGTTATATGAAGAAATCCCGTTTCCAACGAAGGCCTCAAAGAGGTCCAAATATCCACCTGCAGACTTTACAAACAGAGTGTTTCCAAACTGCTCTATGAAAAGAAAGGTTAAGCTCTGTGAGGTGAACGCACACATCACAAAGTAGTTGTTGAGAATGATTCTGTGTAGTTTTTATACGAAGATATTTCCTTTTCTGCCATAGGCCTAGAAGCGCTTGTAATCTGCACTTGCAAATTCCAAAAACAGAGTGTTTCAAATCTGCTCTCTCAAAAGGAAGGTTCAAATCTGTGAGTTGAATACAAACAACACAAAGAAGTTACTGAGAATTCTTCTGTCTAGCGTTATATGAAGAAATCCCGTTTCCAACGAAGGCCTCAAAGAGGTCCAAATATCCACTTGCAGACTTTACAAATAGAGTGTTTCCAAACTGCTCTATGAAAAGAAAGGTTAAACTCCGTGAGTTGAAGGCACACATCTCAAACTAGTTTCTGCGAATGACTCTGTGTACTTTTAATACGAAGATGTTTCCATGTCTAAGATTGGCGTGAATTCGCTTGAAATCTCCACTTGCAAATTCCACAAAAAGAGTGTTTCAAAACTGCTCTGAATAAAGGAAGGTTCCACTCTGTGAGTTGAATACACACAACACAAAGGATTTACTGAGAATTCTTCTGTCTAGCAGTAAATGAAAAAATCCCGCTTCCAACGAAGTCCTCAAAGGGGTCCAAGTAATCACTTGCAGACTTCACAGACAGAGTCTTTCCAAACTGCCCTATGAAAAGAAAGGTGGAACTGTGTGAGCTGAACGCACACATAACAAAGCAGTTTCTGAGAATGATTCTGTGTAGTTTTTACACGAAGCTATTTCCATTTCAAAGATTAGCCTCAAATCGCTTGAAATCTCCACTTGCAAATTCCACAGAAAGAGTTTTTCAAAACTGCTCTGTGTAAAGGAAGGTCCAACTCTGTGACTTGAATACACACAACACAAAGAAGTGACTGAGAATTCTTCTGTCTAGCATTATATGAAGAAATCCCGTTTCCAACGAAGGCCTCAAAGAAGTCCAAATAAGCACCTGCAGACTTTACAAACAGGGTGTTTCCAAACTGCTCTATGAAAAGAAAGGTTAAACTCTGTGAGTTGAACGCACACATCAGAAAGTAGTTGTTGAGAATGATTCTGTGTAGTTTTTATACGAAGATATTTCCTTTTCTGCCATAGGCCTATAAGCGCTTTAAATCTGCACTTGCAAATTCCAAAAACAGAGTGTTTCAAATCTGCTCTCTCTAAAGGAAGGTTCAAATCTGTGAGTTGAATACAAACAACACAAAGAAGTTACTGAGAATTCTTCTGTCTAGCATTATATGAGGAAATCCCGTTTCCAACGAAGGGCTCAAAGAGGGCCAATTATCCACCTGCAGACTTACAAAGAGTGTATTTCCAAACTGCTCGATTAAAGAAAGGTTAAACTCTGTGAGTTGAACACACACATCACAAAGTGTTTTCTGAGAATGATTTTGTCTAGTTTTAATACGAAGATATATCCTTTTCTATCACTGTCTTTGAAGCGTTTGAAATCTACACTAGCAAATTCCACAAGAAGAGTGTTTCAACTCTGCTCTCTCTAAAGAAAGGTTCAGCTCGGTGAGTTGAATACACACAACACAAAGAAGTTACTGAGAATTCTTCTGTCTAGCGTTATATGAAGAAATCCCGTTTCCAACGAAGGCCTCAAAGAGGTCCAAATATCCACTTGCAGACTTTACAAATAGAGTGTTTCCCAACTGCTCTATGAAAAGAAAGGTTAAACTGTGAGTTGAAGGCACACATCACAAACTAGTTTCTACGAATGACTCTGTGTACTTTTAATATGAAGATATTTCCATGTCTAAGATTGGCGTCAAATCGCTTGAAATCTCCACTTGCAAATTCCACAAGAAGAGTGTTTCAAAACTGCTCTGAATAAAGGAAGGTTCCACTCTGTGAGTTGAATACACACAACACAAAGGATTTACTGAGAATTCTTCTGTCTAGCAGTAAATGAGAAATCCCGCTTCCAACGAAGGCCTCAAAGGGTTCTAACTAATCACTTGCAGACTTTACAGACAGAGTCTTTCCAAACTGCTCTATGAAGAGAAAGGTGAAACTCTGTGAACTGAACGCACAGATGACAAAGCAGTTTCTGAGAATGATTCTGTGTAGTTTTTACACGAAGCTATTTCCATTTCAAAGATTAGCCTCAAATCGCTTGAAATCTCCACTTGCAAATTCCACAGAAAGAGTTTTTCAAAACTGCTCTGTGAAAAGGAAGGTTCAACTCTGTGACTTGAATACACACAACACAAAGAAGTGACTGAGAATTCTTCTGTCTAGCATTATATGAGGAAATCCCGTTTCCAACGAAGGGCTCATAGAGGGACAATTATCCAGCTGCAGACTTACAAAGAGTGTATTTCCAAACTGCTCGATTAAAGAAAGGTTAAACTCTGTGAGTTGAACACACACATCACAAAGTGTTTTCTGAGAATGATTTTGTCTAGTTTTAATACGAAGATATATCCTTTGCTATCACTGTCTTCGAAGCGTTTGAAATCTGCACTAGCAAATTCCACAAAAAGAGTGTTTCAACTCTGCTCTCTCTAAAGAAAGGTTCAACTCTGTGAGTTGAATACACACAACACAAAGAAGTTACTGAGAATTCTTCTGTCTAGCGTTATATGAAGAAATCCCTTTTCCAACGAAGGCCTCAAAGAGGTCCAAATATCCACTTGCAGACTTTACAAATAGAGTGTTTCCGAACAGCTCTATGAAAAGAAAGGTTAAACTCTGTGAGTTGAAGGCACACATCACAAACTAGTTTCTACGAATGATTTCTGTGTACTTTTAATATGAGGATATTTCCATGTCTATGATTGGCGTCAAATCGCTTGAAATCTCCACTTGCAAATTCCACAAAAAGAGTGTTTCAAAACTGCTCTGAATAAAGGAAGGTTCCACTCTGTGGGTTGAATACACACAACACAAAGGATTTACTGAGAATTCTTCTGTCTAGCAGTAAATGGGAAATCCCGCTTCCAACGAAGGCCTCAAAGGGGTCTAACTAATCACTTGTGGACTTTACAGACAGAGTCTTTCCAAACTGCTCTATGAAGAGAAAGGCGAAACTCTGTGAACTGAACGCACAGATAACAAAGCAGTTTCTGAGAATGATTCTGTGTAGTTTTTACACGAAGATATTTCCATTTCAAAGATTAGCCTCAAATCGCTTGAAATCTCCACTTGCAAATTCCACAGAAAGAGTTTTTCAAAACTGCTCTGTGTAAAGGAAGGTTCAACTCTGTGACTTGAATACACACAACACAAAGAAGTGACTGAGAATTCTTCTGTCTAGCATTATATGAAGAAATCCCGTTTCCAACGAAGGCCTCAAAGAAGTCCAAATAAGCACCTGCAGACTTTACAAACAGAGTGTTTCCAAACTGCTCTATGAAAAGAAAGGTTAAACTCTGTGAGTTGAACGCACACATCACAAAGTAGTTGTCGAGAATGATTCTGTGTAGTTTTTATACGAAGATATTTCCTTTTCTGCCATAGGCCTAGAAGCGCTTGAAATCTGCACTTGCAAATTCCAAAAACAGAGTGTTTCAAATCTGCTCTCTCTAAAGGAAGGTTCAAATCTGTGTGTTGAATACAAACAACACAAAGAAGTTACTGAGAATTCTTCTGTCTAGCGTTATATGAAGAAATCCCGTTTCCAACGAAGGCCTCAAAGAGGTCCAAATATCCACTTGCAGACTTTACAAATAGAGTGTTTCCAAACTGCTCTATGAAAAGAAAGGTTAAACTCTGTGAGTTGAAGGCACACATCACAAACTAGTTTCTGCGAATGACTCTGTGTACTTTTAATATGAAGATATTTCCATGTCTAAGATTGGCGTCAAATCGCTTGAAATCTCCACTTGCAAATTCCACAAAAAGAGTGTTTCAAAACTGCTCTGAATAAAGGAAGGTTCCACTCTGTGAGTTGAATACACACAACACAAAGGATTTACTGAGAATTCTTCTGTCTAGCAGTAAATGAAAAAATCCCGCTTCCAACGAAGTCCTCAAAGGGGTCCAAGTAATCACTTGCAGACTTTACAGACAGAGTCTTTCCAAACTGCTCTATGAAAAGAAAGGTGGAACTCTGTGAGCTGAACGCACACATAACAAAGCAGTTTCTGAGAATGATTCTGTGTAGTTTTTACACGAAGCTATTTCCATTTCAAAGATTAGCCTCAAATCGCTTGAAATCTCCACTTGCAAATTCCACAGAAAGAGTTTTTCAAAACTGCTCTGTGTAAAGGAAGGTTCAACTCTGTGACTTGAATACACACAACACAAAGAAGTGACTGAGAATTCTTCTGTCTAGCATTATATGAAGAAATCCCGTTTCCAACGAAGGCCTCAAAGAAGTCCAAATAAGCACCTGCAGACTTTACAAACAGAGTGTTTCCAAACTGCTCTATGAAAAGAAAGGTTAAACTCTGTGAGCTGAACGCACACATCACAAAGTAGTTGTTGAGAATGATTCTGTGTAGTTTTTATACGAAGATATTTCCTTTTCTGCCATAGGCCTAGAAGCGCTTGAAATCTGCACTTGCAAATTCCAAAAACAGAGTGTTTCAAATCTGCTCTCTCTAAAGGAAGGTTCAAATCTGTGTGTTGAATACAAACAACACAAAGAAGTTACTGAGAATTCTTCTGTCTAGCGTTATATGAAGAAATCCCGTTTCCAACGAAGGCCTCAAAGAGGTCCAAATATCCACTTGCAGACTTTACAAATAGAGTGTTTCCAAACTGCTCTATGAAAAGAAAGGTTAAACTCTGTGAGTTGAAGGCACACATCACAAACTAGTTTCTGCGAATGACTCTGTGTACTTTTAATACGAAGATGTTTCCATGTCTAAGATTGGCGTGAATTCGCTTGAAATCTCCACTTGCAAATTCCACAAAAAGAGTGTTTCAAAACTGCTCTGAATAAAGGAAGGTTCCACTCTGTGAGTTGAATACACACAACACAAAGGATTTACTGAGAATTCTTCTGTCTAGCAGTAAATGAAAAAATCCCGCTTCCAACGAAGTCCTCAAAGGGGTCCAAGTAATCACTTGCAGACTTTACAGACAGAGTCTTTCCAAACTGCTCTATGAAAAGAAAGGTGGAACTCTGTGAGCTGAACGCACACATAACAAAGCAGTTTCTGACAATGATTCTGTGTAGTTTTTACACGAAGATATTTCCATTTCAAAGATTAGCCTCAAATCGCTTGAAATCTCCACTTGCAAATTCCACAGAAAGAGTTTTTCAAAACTGCTCTGTGTAAAGGAAGGTTCAACTCTGTGACTTGAATACACACAACACAAAGAAGTGACTGAGAATTCTTCTGTCTAGCATTATAAGAGGAAATCCTGTTTCCAACGAAGGGCTCATAGAGGGACAATTATCCAGCTGCAGACTTACAAAGAGTGTATTTCCAAACTGCTCGATTAAAGAAAGGTTAAACTCTGTGAGTTGAACACACACATCACAAAGTGTTTTCTGAGAATGATTCTGTGTAGTTTTTATACGAAGATATTTCCTTTTCTGCCATAGGCCTAGAAGCGCTTGCAATCTGCACTTGCAAATTCCAAAAACAGAGTGTTTCAAATCTGCTCTCTCCAAAGGAAGGTTCAAATCTGTGAGTTGAATACAAACAACACAAAGAAGTTACTGAGAATTCTTCTGTCTAGCATTATATGAGGAAATCCCGTTTCCAACGAAGGGCTCATAGAGGGACAATTATCCAGCTGCAGACTTACAACGAGTGTATTTCCAAACTGCTCGATTAAAGAAAGGTTAAACTCTGTGAGTTGAACACACACATCACAAAGTGTTTTCTGAGAATGATTCTGTGTAGTTTTTATACGAAGATATTTCCTTTTCTGCCATAGGCCTAGAATCGCTTGAAATCTGCACTTGCAAATTCCAAAAACAGAATGTTTCAAATCTGCTCTCTCTAAAGGAAGGTTCAAATCTGTGTGTTGAATACAAACAACACAAAGAAGTTACTGAGAATTCTTCTGTCTAGCGTTATATGAAGAAATCCCGTTTCCAACGAAGGCCTCAAAGAGGTCCAAATATCCACTTGCAGACTTTACAAATAGAGTGTTTCCCAACTGCTCTATGAAAAGAAAGGTTAAACTCTGTGAGTTGAAGGCACACATCACAAACTAGTTTCTACGAATGACTCTGTGTACTTTTAATATGAAGATATTTCCATGTCTAAGATTGGCGTCAAATCGCTTGAAATCTCCACTTGCAAATTCCACAAAAAGTGTTTTTCAAAACTGCTCTGAATAAAGGAAGGTTCCACTCTGTGAGTTGAATACACACAACACAAAGGATTTACTGAGAATTCTTCTGTCTAGCAGTAAATGAGAAATCCCGCTTCCAACGAAGGCCTCAAAGGGGTCTAACTAATCACTTGCAGACTTTACAGACAGAGTCTTTCCAAACTGCTCTATGAAGAGAAAGGTGAAACTCTGTGAACTGAACGCACAGATGACAAAGCAGTTTCTGAGAATGATTCTGTGTAGTTTTTACACGAAGATATTTCCATTTCAAAGATTAGCCTCAAATCGCTTGAAATCTCCACTTGCAAATTCCACAGAAAGAGTTTTTCAAAACTGCTCTGTGTAAAGGAAGGTTCAACTCTGTGACTTGAATACACACAACACAAAGAAGTGACTGAGAATTCTTCTGTCTAGCATTATATGAGGAAATCCCGTTTCCAACGAAGGGCTCTTAGAGGGACAATTATCCAGCTGCAGACTTACAAAGAGTGTATTTCCAAACTGCTCGATTAAAGAAAGGTTAAACTCTGTGAGTTGAACACACACATCACAAAGTGTTTTCTGAGAATGATTTTGTCTAGTTTTAATACGAAGATATATCCTTTTCTATCACTGTCTTCGAAGCGTTTGAAATCTGCACTAGCAAATTCCACAGAAAGAGTGTTTCAACTCTGCTCTCTCTCAAGAAAGGTTCAACTCTGTGAGTTGAATACACACAACACAAAGAAGTTACTGAGAATTCTTCTGTCTAGCGTTATATGAAGAAATCCCGTTTCCAACGAAGGCCTCAAAGAGGTCCAAATATCCACTTGCAGACTTTACAAATAGAGTGTTTCCAAACTGCTCTATGAAAAGAAAGGTTAAACTCTGTGAGTTGAAGGCACACATCACAAACTAGTTTCTGCGAATGACTCTGTGTACTTTTAATATGAAGATATTTCCATGTCTAAGATTGGCGTCAAATCGCTTGAAATCTCCACTTGCAAATTCCACAAAAAGAGTGTTTCAAAACTGCTCTGAATAAAGGAAGGTTCCACTCTGTGAGTTGAATAAACGCAACACAAATGATTTACTGAGAATTCTTCTGTCTAGCATTATATGAAGAAATCCCGTTTCCAACGAAGACCTCAATGAAGTCCAAAAAAGCACTTGCAGGCTTTACAAACAGCGTGTTTCCAAACTGCTCTATGAAAAGAAAGGTTAAACTTTGTGAGTTGAACGCACACATCACAAAGTAGTTGTTGAGAATGATTCTGTGTAGTTTTTACACGAAGCTATTTCCATTTCAAAGATTAGCCTCAAATCGCTTGAAATCTCCACTTGCAAATTCCACAGAAAGAGTTTTTCAAAACTGCTCTGTGTAAAGGAAGGTTCAACTCTGTGACTTGAATACACACAACACAAAGAAGTGACTGAGAATTCTTCTGTCTAGCATTATATGAAGAAATCCCGTTTCCAACGAAGGCCTCAAAGAAGTCCAAATAAGCACCTGCAGACTTTACAAACAGAGTGTTTCCAAACTGCTCTATGAAAAGAAAGGTTAAACTCTGTGAGTTGAACGCACACATCACAAAGTAGTTGTTGAGAATGATTCTGTGTAGTTTTTATACGAAGATATTTCCTTTTCTGCCATAGGCCTAGAAGCGCTTGTAATCTGCACTTGCAAATTCCAAAACCAGAGTGTTTCAAATCTGCTCTCTCTAAAGGAAGGTTCAAATCTGTGAGTTGAATACAAACAACACAAAGAAGTTACTGAGGATTCTTCTGTCTAGCGTTATATGAAGAAATCCCGTTTCCAACGAAGGCCTCAAAGAGGTCCAAATATCCACTTGCAGACTTTACAAATAGAGTGTTTCCAAACTGCTCTATGAAAAGAAAGGTTAAACTCCGTGAGTTGAAGGCACACATCACAAACTAGTTTCTGCGAATGACTCTGTGTACTTTTAATATGAAGATATTTCCATGTCTAAGATTGGCGTCAAATCGCTTGAAATCTCCACTTGCAAATTCCACAAAAAGAGTGTTTCAAAACTGCTCTGAATAAAGGAAGGTTCCACTCTGTGAGTTGAATACACACAACACAAAGGATTTACTGAGAATTCTTCTGTATAGCAGTAAATGAAAAAATCCCGCTTCCAACGAAGTCCTCAAAGGGGTCCAAGTAATCACTTGCAGACTTTACAGACAGAGTCTTTCCAAACTGCTCTATGAAAAGAAAGGTGGAACTCTGTGAGCTGAACGCACACATAACAAAGCAGTTTCTGAGAATGATTCTGTGTAGGTTTTACACGAAGATATTTCCATTTCAAAGATTAGCCTCAAATCGCTTGAAATCTCCACTTGCAAATTCCGCAGAAAGAGTTTTTCAAAACTGCTCTGTGTAAAGGAAGGTTCAACTCTGTGACTTGAATACACACAACACAAAGAAGTGACTGAGAATTCTTCTGTCTAGCGTTGTATGAAGAAATCCCGTTTCCAACGAAGGCCTCAATAAAGTCCAAAAAAGCACTTGCAGGCTTTACAAACAGAGTGTTTCCAAACTGCTCTATGAAAAGAAAGGTTAAACTCTGTGAGTTGAACGCACACATCACAAAGTAGTTGTTGAGAATGATTCTGTGTAGTTTTTATACGAAGATATTTCCTTTTCTGCCATAGGCCTAGAAGCGCTTGTAATCTGCACTTGCAAATTCCAAAAACAGAGTGTTTCAAATCTGCTCTCTCTAAAGGAAGGTTCAAATCTGTGAGTTGAATACAAACAACACAAAGAAGTTACTGAGAATTCTTCTGTCTAGCGTTATATGAAGAAATCCCGTTTCCAACGAAGGCCTCAAAGAGGTCCAAATATCCACTTGCAGACTTTACAAATAGAGTGTTTCCCAACTGCTCTATGAAAAGAAAGGTTAAACTCTGTGAGTTGAAGGCACACATCACAAACTAGTTTCTACGAATGACTCTGTGTACTTTTAATATGAAGATATTTCCATGTCTAAGATTGGCGTCAAATCGCTTGAAATCTCCACTTGCAAATTCCACAAAAAGAGTGTTTCAAAACTGCTCTGAATAAAGGAAGGTTCCACTCTGTGAGTTGAATACACACAACACAAAGGATTTACTGAGAATTCTTCTGTCTAGCAGTAAATGAGAAATCCCGCTTCCAACGAAGGCCTCAAAGGGGTCTAACTAATCACTTGCAGACTTTACAGACAGAGTCTTTCCAAACTGCTCTATGAAGAGAAAGGTGAAACTCTGTGAACTGAACGCACAGATGACAAAGCAGTTTCTGAGAATGATTCTGTGTAGTTTTTACACGAAGATATTTCCATTTCAAAGATTAGCCTCAAATCGCTTGAAATCTCCACTTGCAAATTCCACAGAAAGAGTTTTTCAAAACTGCTCTGTGTAAAGGAAGGTTCAACTCTGTGACTTGAATACACACAACACAAAGAAGTGACTGAGAATTCTTCTGTCTAGCATTATATGAGGAAATCCCGTTTCCAATGAAGGGCTCAAAGAGGGCCAATTATCCACCTGCAGACTTACAAAGAGTGTATTTCCAAACTGCTCGATTAAAGAAAGGTTAAACTCTGTGAGTTGAACACACACATCACAAAGTGTTTTCTGAGAATGATTTTGTCTAGTTTTAATACGAAGATATATCCTTTTCTATCACTGTCTTCGAAGCGTTTGAAATCTGCACTAGCAAATTCCACAAAAAGAGTGTTTCAACTCTGCTCTCTCTAAAGAAAGGTTCACCTCTGTGAGTTGAATACACACAACACAAAGAAGTTACTGAGAATTCTTCTGTCTAGCGTTATATGAAGAAATCCCGTTTCCAACGAAGGCCTCAAAGAGGTCCAAATATCCACTTGCAGACTTTACAAATAGAGTGTTTCCAAACTGCTCTATGAAAAGAAAGGTTAAACTCTGTGAGTTGAAGGCACACATCACAAACTAGTTTCTGCGAATGACTCTGTGTACTTTTAATACGAAGATGTTTCCATGTCTAAGATTGGCGTGAATTCGCTTGAAATCTCCACTTGCAAATTCCACAAAAAGAGTGTTTCAAAACTGCTCTGAATAAAGGAAGGTTCCACTCTGTGAGTTGAATACACACAACACAAAGGATTTACTGAGAATTCTTCTGTCTAGCAGTAAATGAAAAAATCCCGCTTCCAACGAAGTCCTCAAAGGGGTCCAAGTAATCACTTGCAGACTTTACAGACAGAGTCTTTCCAAACTGTTCTATGAAAAGAAAGGTGGAACTCTGTGAGCTGAACGCACACATAACAAAGCAGTTTCTGAGAATGATTCTGTGTAGTTTTTACACAAAGCTATTTCCATTTCAAAGATTAGCCTCAAATCGCTTGAAATCTCCACTTGCAAATTCCACAGAAAGAGTTTTTCAAAACTGCTCTGTGTAAAGGAAGGTTCAACTCTGTGACTTGAATACACACAACACAAAGAAGTGACTGAGAATTCTTCTGTCTAGCATTATATGAAGAAATCCCGTTTCCAACGAAGGCCTCAATGAAGTCCAAAAAAGCACTTGCAGGCTTTACAAACAGAGTGTTTCCAAACTGCTCTATGAAAAGAAAGGTTAAACTCTGTGAGTTGAACGCACACATCACAAAGTAGTTGTTGAGAATGATTCTGTGTAGTTTTTATACGAAGATATTTCCTTTTCTGCCATAGGCCTAGAAGCGCTTGAAATCTGCACTTGCAAATTCCAAAAACAGAGTGTTTCAAATCTGCTCTCTCTAAAGGAAGGTTCAAATCTGTGTGTTGAATACAAACAACACAAAGAAGTTACTGAGAATTCTTCTGTCTAGCGTTATATGAAGAAATCCCGTTTCCAACGAAGGCCTCAAAGAGGTCCAAATATTCACTTGCAGACTTTACAAATAGAGTGTTTCCCAACTGCTCTATGAAAAGAAAGGTTAAACTCTGTGAGTTGAAGGCACACATCACAAACTAGTTTCTACGAATGACTCAGTGTACTTTTAATATGAAGATATTTCCATGTCTAAGATTGGCGTCAAATCGCTTGAAATCTCCACTTGCAAATTCCACAAAAAGAGTGTTTCAAAACTGCTCTGAATAAAGGAAGGTTCCACTCTGTGAGTTGAATACACACAACACAAAGGATTTACTGAGAATTCTTCTGTCTAGCAGTAAATGAGAAATCCCACTTCCAACGAAGGCCTCAAAGGGGTCTAACTAATCACTTGCAGACTTTAGAGACAGAGTCTTTCCAAACTGCTCTATGAAGAGAAAGGTGAAACTCTGTGAACTGAACGCACAGATGACAAAGCAGTTTCTGAGAATGATTCTGTGTAGTTTTTACACGAAGCTATTTCCATTTCAAAGATTAGCCTCAAATCGCTTGAAATCTCCACTTGCAAATTCCACAGAAAGAGTTTTTCAAAACTGCTCTGTGTAAAGGAAGGTTCAACTCTGTGACTTGAATACACACAACACAAAGAAGTGACTGAGAATTCTTCTGTCTAGCATTATATGAGGAAATCCCGTTTCCAACGAAGGGCTCAAAGAGGGCCAATTATCCACCTGCAGACTTACAAAGAGTGTATTTCCAAACTGCTCGATTAAAGAAAGGTTAAACTCTGTGAGTTGAACACACACATCACAAAGTGTTTTCTGAGAATGATTCTGTGTAGTTTTTATACGAAGATATTTTCTTTTCTGCCATAGGCCTAGAATCGCTTGAAATCTACACTTGCAAATTCCAAAAACAGAGTGTTTCAACTCTGTTCTCTCTAAAGAAAGGTTCAACTCTGTGAGTTGAATACACACAACACAAAGAAGTTACTGAGAATTCTTCTGTCTAGCGTTGTATGAAGAAATCCCGTTTCCAACGAAGGCCTCAATGAAGTCCAAAAAAGCACTTGCAGGCTTTACAAACAGAGTGTTTCCAAACTGCTCTATGAAAAGAAAGGTTAACCTGCTGTGAGTTGAACGCACACATCACAAAGTAGTTGTTGAGAATGATTCTGTGTACTTTTAATATGAAGATATTTCCATGTCTAAGATTGGCGTCAAATCGCTTGAAATCTCCACTTGCAAATTCCACAAAAAGAGTGTTTCAAAACTGCTCTGAATAAAGGAAGGTTCCACTCTGTGAGTTGAATACACACAACACAAAGGATTTACTGAGAATTCTTCTGTCTAGCATTATATGAAGAAATCCCGTTTCCAACGAAGGCCTCAATGAAGTCCAAAAAAGCACTTGCAGGCTTTACAAACAGAGTGTTTCCAAACTTCTCTATGAAAAGAAAGGTTAAACTTTGTGAGTTGAACGCACACATCACAAAGTAGTTGTTGAGAATGATTCTGTGTAGTTTTTATACGAAGACATTTCCTTTTCTGCCATAGGCCTAGAATCCCTTGAAATCTGCACTTCCAAATTCCAAAAACAGAGCGTTTCAACTCTGCTCTCTCTAAAGGAAGGTTCCACTCTGTGAGTTGAATACACACAACACAAAGGATTTACTGAGAATTCTTCTGTCTAGCAGTTAATGAGAAATCCCGCTTCCAACGAAGGCCTCAAAGGGGTCTAACTAATCACTTGCAGACTTTACAGACAGAGTCTTTCCAAACTGCTCTATGAAGAGAAAGGTGAAACTCTGTGAACTGAACGCACAGATGACAAAGCAGTTTCTGAGAATGATTCTGTGTAGTTTTTACACGAAGATATTTCCATTTCAAAGATTAGCCTCAAATCGCTTGAAATCTCCACTTGCAAATTACACAGAAAGAATTTTTCAAAACTGCTCTGTCTAAAGGAAGGTTCAACTCTGTGACTTGAATACACACAACACAAAGAAGTGACTGAGAATTCTTCTGTCTAGCATTATATGAAGAAATCCCGTTTCCAACGAAGGCCTCAAAGAAGTCCAAATAAGCACCTGCAGACTTTACAAACAGAGTGTTTCCAAACTGCTCTATGAAAAGAAAGGTTAAACTCTGTGAGTTGAACGCACACATCACAAACTAGTTTCTGCGAATGACTTTGTCTAGTTTTAATACGAAGATATATCCTTTTCTATCACTGTCTTCGAAGCGTTTGAAATCTGCACTAGCAAATTCCACAAAAAGAGTGTTTCAACTCTGCTCTCTCTAAAGAAGGGTTCAACTCTGTGAGTTGAATACACACAACACAAAGAAGTTACTGAGAATTCTTCTGTCTAGCGTTATATGAAGAAATCCCGTTTCCAACGAAGGCCTCAAAGAGGTCCAAATATCCACTTGCAGACTTTACAAATAGAGTGTTTCCGAACTGCTCTATGAAAAGAAAGGTTAAATTCTGTGAGTTGAAGGCACACATCACAAACTAGTTTCTACGAATGACTCTGTGTACTTTTAATACGAAGATGTTTCCATGTCTAAGATTGGCGTGAATTCGCTTGAAATCTCCACTTGCAAATTCCACAAAAAGAGTGTTTCAAAACTGCTCTGAATAAAGGAAGGTTCCACTCTGTGAGTTGAATACACACAACACAAAGGATTTACTGAGAATTCTTCTGTCTGGCAGTAAATGAAAAAATCCCGCTTCCAACGAAGTCCTCAAAGGGGTCCAAGTAATCACTTGCAGACTTTACAGACAGAGTCTTTCCAAACTGCTCTATGAAAAGAAAGGTGGAACTCTGTGAGCTGAACGCACACATAACAAAGCAGTTTCTGAGAATGATTCTGTGTAGTTTTTACACGAAGATATTTCCATTTCAAAGATTAGCCTCAAATCGCTTGAAATCTCCACTTGCAAATTCCACAGAAAGAGTTTTTCAAAACTGCTCTGTGTAAAGGAAGGTTCAACTCTGTGACTTGAATACACACAACACAAAGAAGTGACTGAGAATTCTTCTGTCTAGCGTTGTATGAAGAAATCCCGTTTCCAACGAAGGCCTCAATGAAGTACAAAAAAGCACTTGCAGGCTTTACAAACAGAGTGTTTCCAAACTGCTCTATGAAAAGAAAGGTTAAACTCTGTGAGTTGAACACACACATCACAAAGAGTTTTCTGAGAATGATTCTGTGTAGTTTTTATATGAAGATATTTCCTTTTCTGCCATAGGCCTAGAAGCGCTTGAAATCTGCACTTGCAAATTCCAAAAACAGAGTGTTTCAAATCTGCTCTCTCTAAAGGAAGGTTCAAATCTGTGAGTTGAATACAAACAACACAAAGAAGTTACTGAGAATTCTTCTGTCTAGCGTTATATGAAGAAATCCCGTTTCCAACGAAGGCCTCAAAGAGGTCCAAATATCCACTTGCAGACTTTACAAATAGAGTGTTTCCCAACTGCTCTATGAAAAGAAAGGTTAAACTCTGTGAGTTGAAGGCACACATCACAAACTAGTTTCTACGAATGACTCTGTGTACTTTTAATACGAAGATGTTTCCATGTCTAAGATTGGCGTGAATTCGCTTGAAATCTCCACTTGCAAATTCCACAAAAAGAGTGTTTCAAAACTGCTCTGAATAAAGGAAGGTTCCACTCTGTGAGTTGAATACACACAACACAAAGGATTTACTGAGAATTCTTCTGTCTAGCAGTAAATGAGAAATCCCGCTTCCAACGAAGGCCTCAAAGGGGTCTAACTAATCACTTGCAGACTTTACAGACAGAGTCTTTCCAAACTGCTCTATGAAGAGAAAGGTGAAACTCTGTGAACTGAACGCACAGATGACAAAGCAGTTTCTGAGAATGATTCTGTGTAGTTTTTACACGAAGATATTTCCATTTCAAAGATTAGCCTCAAATCGCTTGAAATCTCCACTTGCAAATTACACAGAAAGAACTTTTCAAAACTGCTCTGTCTAAAGGAAGGTTCAACTCTGTGACTTGAATACACACAACACAAAGAAGTGACTGAGAATTCTTCTGTCTAGCATTATATGAAGAAATCCCGTTTCCAACGAAGGCCTCAAAGAAGTCCAAATAAGCACCTGCAGACTTTACAAACAGAGTGTTTCCAAACTGCTCTATGAAAAGAAAGGTTAAACTCTGTGAGCTGAACGCACACATCACAAAGTAGTTGTTGAGAATGATTCTGTGTAGTTTTTATACGAAGATATTTCCTTTTCTGCCATAGGCCTAGAAGCGCTTGAAATCTGCACTTGCAAATTCCAAAAACAGAGTGTTTCAAATCTGCTCTCTCTAAAGGAAGGTTCAAATCTGTGAGTTGAATACAAACAACACAAAGAAGTTACTGAGAATTCTTCTGTCTAGCGTTATATGAAGAAATCCCGTTTCCAACGAAGGCCTCAAAGAGGTCCAAATATCCACTTGCAGACTTTACAAATAGAGTGTTTCCGAACTGCTCTATGAAAAGAAAGGTTAAACTCTGTGAGTTGAAGGCACACATCACAACCTAGTTTCTACGAATGACTTCTGTGTACTTTTAATATGAAGATATTTCCATGTCTAAGATTGTCGTCAAATCGCTTGAAATCTCCACTTGCAAATTCCACAAAAAGAGTGTTTCAAAACTGCTCTGAATAAAGGAAGGTTCCACTCTGTGAGTTGAATACACACAACACAAAGGATTTACTGAGAATTCTTCTGTCTAGCAGTAAATGAAAAAATCCCGCTTCCAACGAAGTCCTCAAAGGGGTCCAAGTAATCACTTGCAGACTTTACAGACAGAGTCTTTCCAAACTGCTCTATGAAAAGAAAGGTGGAACTCTGTGAGCTGAACGCACACATAACAAAGCAGTTTCTGAGAATGATTCTGTGTAGTTTTTACACGAAGCTATTTCCATTTCAAAGATTAGCCTCAAATCGCTTGAAATCTCCACTTGCAAATTCCACAGAAAGAGTTTTTCAAAACTGCTCTGTGTAAAGGAAGGTTCAACTCTGTGACTTGAATACACACAACACAAAGAAGTGACTGAGAATTCTTCTGTCTAGCATTATATGAGGAAATCCCGTTTCCAACGAAGGGCTCAAAGAGGGCCAATTATCCACCTGCAGACTTACAAAGAGTGTATTTCCAAACTGCTCGATTAAAGAAAGGTTAAACTCTGTGAGTTGAACACACACATCACAAAGTGTTTTCTGAGAATGATTTTGTCTAGTTTTAATACGAAGATATACCCTTTGCTATCACTGTCTTCGAAGCGTTTGAAATCTGCACTAGCAAATTCCACAAAAAGAGTGTTTCAACTCTGCTCTCTCTAAAGAAAAGTTGAACTCTGTGAGTTGAATACACACAACACAAAGAAGTTACTGAAAATTCTTCTGTCTAGCGTTATATGAAGAAATCCCTTTTCCAACGATGGCCTCAAAGAGGTCCAAATATCCACTTGCAGACTTTACAAATAGAGTGTTTCCGAACTGCTCTATGAAAAGAAAGGTTAAACTCTGTGAGTTGAAGGCACACATCACAAACTAGTTTCTACGAATGATTCTGTGTACTTTTAATATGAAGATATTTCCATGTCTAAGATTGACGTCAAATCGCTTGAAATCTCCACTTGCAAATTCCACAAAAAGTGTTTTTCAAAACTGCTCTGAATAAAGGAAGGTTCCACTCTGTGAGTTGAATACACACAACACAAAGGATTTACTGAGAATTCTTCTGTCTAGCAGTAAATGAAAAAATCCCGCTTCCAACGAAGTCCTCAAAGGGGTCCAAGTAATCACTTGCAGACTTTACAGACAGAGTCTTTCCAAACTGCTCTATGAAAAGAAAGGTGGAACTCTGTGAGCTGAACGCACACATAACAAAGCAGTTTCTGAGAATGATTCTGTGTAGTTTTTACACGAAGCTATTTCCATTTCAAAGATTAGCCTCAAATCGCTTGAAATCTCCACTTGCAAATTCCACAGAAAGAGTTTTTCAAAACTGCTCTGTGTAAAGGAAGGTTCAACTCTGTGACTTGAATACACACAACACAAAGAAGTGACTGAGAATTCTTCTGTCTAGCATTATATGAAGAAATCCCGTTTCCAACGAAGGCCTCAAAGAAGTCCAAATAAGCACCTGCAGACTTTACAAACAGAGTGTTTCCAAACTGCTCTATGAAAAGAAAGGTTAAACTCTGTGAGTTGAACGCACACATCACAAAGTAGTTGTTGAGAATGATTCTGTGTAGTTTTTATACGAAGATATTTCCTTTTCTGCCATAGGCCTAGAAGCGCTTGAAATCTGCACTTGCAAATTCCAAAAACAGAGTGTTTCAAATCTGCTCTCTCTAAAGGAAGGTTCAACTCTGTGTGTTGAATACAAACAACACAAAGAAGTTACTGAGAATTCTTCTGTCTAGCGTTATATGAAGAAATCCCGTTTCCAACGAAGGCCTCAAAGAGGTCCAAATATCCACTTGCAGACTTTACAAATAGAGTGTTTCCAAACTGCTCTATGAAAAGAAAGGTTAAACTCCGTGAGTTGAAGGCACACATCACAAACTAGTTTCTGCGAATGACTCTGTGTACTTTTAATACGAAGATGTTTCCATGTCTAAGATTGGCGTGAATTCGCTTGAAATCTCCACTTGCAAATTCCACAAAAAGAGTGTTTCAAAAGTGCTCTGAATAAAGGAAGGTTCCACTCTGTGAGTTGAATACACACAACACAAAGGATTTACTGAGAATTCTTCTGTCTAGCAGTAAATGAAAAAATCCCGCTTCCAACGAAGTCCTCAAAGGGGTCCAAGTAATCACTTGCAGACTTTACAGACAGAGTCTTTCCAAACTGCTCTATGAAAAGAAAGGTGGAACTCTGTGAGCTGAACGCACACATAACAAAGCAGTTTCTGAGAATGATTCTGTGTAGTTTTTACACGAAGATATTTCCATTTCAAAGATTAGCCTCAAATCGCTTGAAATCTCCACTTGCAAATTCCACAGAAAGAGTTTTTCAAAACTGCTCTGTGTAAAGGAAGGTTCAACTCTGTGACTTGAATACACACAACACAAAGAAGTGACTGAGAATTCTTCTGTCTAGCATTATATGAAGAAATCCCGTTTCCAACGAAGGCCTCAATGAAGTCCAAAAAAGCACTTGCAGGCTTTACAAACAGAGTGTTTCCAAACTGCTCTATGAAAAGAAAGGTTAAACTCTGTGAGTTGAACGCACACATCACAAAGTAGTTGTTGAGAATGATTCTGTGTAGTTTTTATACGAAGATATTTCCTTTTCTGCCATAGGCCTAGAAGCGCTTGCAATCTGCACTTGCAAATTCCAAAAACAGAGTGTTTCAAATCTGCTCTCTCCAAAGGAAGGTTCAAATCTGTGAGTTGAATACAAACAACACAAAGAAGTTACTGAGAATTCTTCTGTCTAGCGTTATATGAAGAAATCCCGTTTCCAACGAAGGCCTCAAAGAGGTCCAAATATCCACTTGCAGACTTTACAAATAGAGTGTTTCCAAACTGCTCTATGAAAAGAAAGGTTAAACTCCGTGAGTTGAAGGCACACATCACAAACTAGTTTCTGCGAATGACTCTGTGTACTTTCAATACGAAGATGTTTCCATGTCTAAGATTGGCGTGAATTCGCTTGAAATCTCCACTTGCAAATTCCACAAAAAGAGTGTTTCAAAAGTGCTCTGAATAAAGGAAGGTTCCACTCTGTGAGTTGAATACACACAACACAAAGGATTTACTGAGAATTCTTCTGTCTAGCAGTAAATGAGAAATCCCGCTTCCAACGAAGGCCTCAAAGGGGTCTAACTAATCACTTGCAGACTTTACAGACAGAGTCTTTCCAAACTGCTCTATGAAGAGAAAGGTGAAACTCTGTGAACTGAACGCACAGATGACAAAGCAGTTTCTGAGAATGATTCTGTGTAGTTTTTACACGAAGATATTTCCATTTCAAAGATTAGCCTCAAATCGCTTGAAATCTCCACTTGCAAATTCCACAGAAAGAATTTTTCAAAACTGCTCTGTCTAAAGGAAGGTTCAACTCTGTGACTTGAATACACACAACACAAAGAAGTGACTGAGAATTCTTCTGTCTAGCATTATATGAAGAAATCCCGTTTCCAACGAAGGCCTCAATGAAGTCCAAAAAAGCACTTGCAGGCTTTACAAACAGAGTGTTTCCAAACTGCTCTATGAAAAGAAAGGTTAAACTCTGTTAGTTGAACGCACACATCACAAAGTAGTTGTTGAGAATGATTCTGTGTAGTTTTTATACGAAGATATTTCCTTTTCTGCCATAGGCCTAGAATCGCTTGAAATCTGCAATTGCAAATTCCAAAAACAGAGTGTTTCAACTCTGCTCTCTCTAAAGAAAGGTTCAACTCTGTGAGTTGAATGCACACAACACAAAGAAGTTACTGAGAATTCTTCTGTCTAGCGTTATATGAAGAAATCCCGTTTCCAACGAAGGCCTCAAAGAGGTCCAAATATCCACTTGCAGACTTTACAGATAGAGTGTTTCCAAACTGCTCTATGAAAAGAAAGGTTAAACTCCGTGAGTTGAAGGCACACATCACAAACTAGTTTCTGCGAATGACTCTGTGTACTTTTAATATGAAGATATTTCCATGTCTAAGATTGGCGTCAAATCGCTTGAAATCTCCACTTGCAAATTCCACAAAAAGTGTTTTTCAAAACTGCTCTGAATAAAGGAAGGTTCCACTCTGTGAGTTGAATACACACAACACAAAGGATTTACTGAGAATTCTTCTGTCTAGCAGTAAATGAAAAAATCCCGCTTCCAACGAAGTCCTCAAAGGGGTCCAAGTAATCACTTGCAGACTTTACAGACAGAGTCTTTCCAAACTGCTCTATGAAAAGAAAGGTGGAACTCTGTGAGCTGAACGCACACATAACAAAGCAGTTTCTGACGAATGATTCTGTGTAGTTTTTACACGAAGATATTTCCATTTCAAAGATTAGCCTCAAATCGCTTGAAATCTCCACTTGCAAATTCCACAGAAACAGTTTTTCAAAACTGCTCTGTCTAAAGGAAAGTTCAACTCTGTGACTTGAATACACACAACACAAAGAAGTGACTGAGAATTCTTCTGTCTAGCGTTATATGAAGAAATCCCGTTTCCAACGAAGGCCTCAAAGAGGTCCAAATATCCACTTGCAGACTTTACAAAGAGAGTGTTTCCAAACTGCTCTATGAAAAGAAAGGTTAAACTCGGTGAGTTGAAGGCACACATCACAAACTAGTTTCTGCGAATGACTCTGTGTAGTTTTTATACAAAGATATTTCCTTTTCTGCCATAGGCCTAGAAGCGCTTGAAATCTGCACTTGCAAATTCCAAAAACAGAGTGTTTCAAATCTGCTCTCTCTAAAGGAAGGTTCAAATCTGTGAGTTGAATACAAACAACACAAAGAAGTTACTGAGAATTCTTCTGTCTAGCATTATATGAGGAAATCCCGTTTCCAACGAAGGGCTCAAAGAGGGCCAATTATCCACCTGCAGACTTACAAAGAGTGTATTTCCAAACTGCTCGATTAAAGAAAGGTTAAACTCTGTGAGTTGAACACACACATCACAAAGTGTTTTCTGAGAATGATTTTGTCTAGTTTTAATACGAAGATATATCCTTTGCTATCACTGTCTTCGAAGCGTTTGAAATCTGCACTAGCAAATTCCACAAAAAGAGTGTTTCAACCCTGCTCTCTCTAAAGAAAAGTTGAACTCTGTGAGTTGAATACACACAACACAAAGAAGTTACTGAAAATTCTTCTGTCTAGCGTTATATGAAGAAATCCCGTTTCCAACGAAGGCCTCAAAGAGGTCCAAATATCCACTTGCAGACTTTACAAATAGAGTGTTTCCAAACTGCTCTATGAAAAGAAAGGTTAAACTCCGTGAGTTGAAGGCACACATCACAAACTAGTTTCTGCGAATGACTCTGTGTACTTTTAATATGAAGATATTTCCATGTCTAAGATTGGCGTCAAATCGCTTGAAATCTCCACTTGCAAATTCCACAAAAAGAGTGTTTCAAAACTGCTCTGAATAAAGGAAGGTTCCACTCTGTGAGTTGAATACACACAACACAAAGGATTTACTGAGAATTCTTCTGTCTAGCAGTAAATGAGAAATCCCGCTTCCAACGAAGGCCTCAAAGGGGTCTAACTAATCACTTGCAGACTTTACAGACAGAGGCTTTCCAAACTGCTCTACGAAGAGAAAGGTGAAACTCTGTGGACTGAACGCACAGATGACAAAGCAGTTTCTGAGAATGATTCTGTGTAGTTTTTACACGAAGATATTTCCATTTCAAAGATTAGCCTCAAATCGCTTGAAATCTCCACTTGCAAATTCCACAGAAAGAATTTTTCAAAACTGCTCTGTCTAAAGGAAGGTTCAACTCTGTGACTTGAATACACACAACACAAAGAAGTGACTGAGAATTCTTCTGTCTAGCATTATATGAAGAAATCCCGTTTCCAACGAAGGCCTCAAAGAAGTCCAAATAAGCACCTGCAGACTTTACAAACAGAGTGTTTCCAAACTGCTCTATGAAAAGAAAGGTTAAACTCTGTGAGTTGAACGCACACATCACAAAGTAGTTGTTGAGAATGATTCTGTGTAGTTTTTATACGAAGATATTTCCTTTTCTGCCATAGGCCTAGAAGCGCTTGTAATCTGCACTTGCAAATTCCAAAAAGAGAGTGTTTCAAATCTGCTCTCTCTAAAGGAAGGTTCAAATCTGTGAGTTGAATACAAACAACACAAAGAAGTTACTGAGAATTCTTCTGTCTAGCGTTATATGAAGAAATCCCGTTTCCAACGAAGGCCTCAAAGAGGTCCAAATATCCACTTGCAGACTTTACAAATAGAGTGTTTCCCAACTGCTCTATGAAAAGAAAGGTTAAACTCTGTGAGTTGAAGGCACACATCACAAACTAGTTTCTACGAATGACTCTGTGTACTTTTAATACGAAGATGTTTCCATGTCTAAGATTGGCGTGAATTCGCTTGAAATCTCCACTTGCAAATTCCACAAAAAGAGTGTTTCAAAAGTGCTCTGAATAAAGGAAGGTTCCACTCTGTGAGTTGAATACACACAACACAAAGGATTTACTGAGAATTCTTCTGTCTAGCAGTAAATGAGAAATCCCGCTTCCAACGAAGGCCTCAAAGGGGTCTAACTAATCACTTGCAGACTTTACAGACAGAGTCTTTCCAAACTGCTCTATGAAGAGAAAGGTGAAACTCTGTGAACTGAAGGCACAGATAACAAAGCAGTTTCTGAGAATGATTCTGTGTAGTTTTTACACGAAGATATTTCCATTTCAAAGATTAGCCTCAAATCTCTTAAAATCTCCAATTGCAAATTCCACAGAAAGAATTTTTCAAAACTGCTCTGTCTAAAAGAAGGTTCAACTCTGTGACTTGAATACACACAACACAAAGAAGTGACTGAGAATTCTTCTGTCTAGCATTATATGAAGAAATCCCGTTTCCAACGAAGGCCTCAATGAAGTCCAAAAAAGCACTTGCAGGCTTTACAAACAGAGTGTTTCCAAACTGCTCTATGAAAAGTAAGGTTAAACTCTGGGAGTTGAACGCACACATCACAAAGTAGTTGTTGAGAATGATTCTGTGTAGTTTTTATACGAAGATATTTCCTTTTCTGCCATAGGCCTAGAAGCGCTTGAAATCTGCACTTGCAAATTCCAAAAACAGAGTGTTTCAAATCTGCTCTCTCTAAAGGAAGGTTCAAATCTGTGAGTTGAATACAAACAACACAAAGAAGTTACTGAGAATTCTTCTGTCTAGCGTTGTATGAAGAAATCCCTTTTCGAACGAAGGCCTCAAAGAGGTCCAAATATCCACTTGCAGACTTTACAAATAGAGTGTTTCCAAACTACTCTATGAAAAGAAAGGTTAAACTCTGTGAGTTGAAGGCACACATCACAAACTAGTTTCTACGAATGACTCTGTGTACTTTTAATACGAAGATGTTTCCATGTCTAAGATTGGCGTGAATTCGCTTGAAATCTCCACTTGCAAATTCCACAAAAAGAGTGTTTCAAAACTGCTCTGAATAAAGGAAGGTTCCACTCTGTGAGTTGAATACACACAACACAAAGGATTTACTGAGAATTCTTCTGTCTGGCAGTAAATGAAAAAATCCCGCTTCCAACGAAGTCCTCAAAGGGGTCCAAGTAATCACTTGCAGACTTTACAGACAGAGTCTTTCCAAACTGCTCTATGAAAAGAAAGGTGGAACTCTGTGAGCTGAACGCACACATAACAAAGGAGTTTCTGAGAATGATTCTGTGTAGTTTTTACACGAAGATATTTCCATTTCAAAGATTAGCCTCAAATCGCTTGAAATCTCCACTTGCAAATTCCACAGAAAGAGTTTTTCAAAACTGCTCTGTCTAAAGGAAGTTTCAACTCTGTGACTTGAATACCACAACACAAAGAAGTGACTGAGAATTCTTCTGTCTAGCATTATATGAAGAACTCCCGTTTCCAAAGAAGGCCTCAAAGAAGTCCAAATAAGCACTTGCAGACTTTACAAACAAAGTGTTTCCAAACTGCTCTATGAAAAGAAAGGTTAAACTCTGTGAGTTGAACGCACACATCACAAAGTAGTTGTTGAGAATGATTCTGTGTAGTTTTTATACGAAGATATTTCCTTTTCTGCCATAGGCCTAGAAGCGCTTGAAATCTGCACTTGCAAATTCCAAAAACAGAGTGTTTCAAATCTGCTCTCTCTAAAGGAAGGTTCAAATCAGTGAGTTGAATACAAACAACTCAAAGAAGTTACTGAGAATTCTTCTGTCTAGGCTTATATGAAGAAATCCCGTTTCCAAAGAATGCCTCAAAGAGGTCCAAATATCCACTTGCAGACTTTACAAATAGAGTGTTTCCCAACTGCTCTATGAAAAGAAAGGTTAAACTCTGTGAGTTGAAGGCACACATCACAAACTAGTTTCTACGAATGACTCTGTGTACTTTTAATATGAAGATATTTCCATGTCTAAGATTGGCGTCAAATCCCTTGAAATCTCCACTTGCAAATTCCACAAAAAGTGTTTTTCAAAACTGCTCTGAATAAAGGAAGGTTCCACTCTGTGAGTTGAATACACACAACACAAAGGATTTACTGAGAATTCTTCTGTCTAGCAGTAAATGAAAAAATCCCGCTTCCAACGAAGTCCTCAAAGGGGTCCAAGTAATCACTTGCAGACTTTACAGACAGAGTCTTTCCAAACTGCTCTATGAAAAGAAAGGTGGAACTCTGTGAGCTGAACGCACACATAACAAAGCAGTTTCTGAGAATGATTCTGTGTAGTTTTTACACGAAGCTATTTCCATTTCAAAGATTAGCCTCAAATCGCTTGAAATCTCCACTTGCAAATTCCACAGAAAGAGTTTTTCAAAACTGCTCTGTGTAAAGGAAGGTTCAACTCTGTGACTTGAATACACACAACACAAAGAAGTGACTGAGAATTCTTCTGTCTAGCATTATATGAAGAAATCCCGTTTCCAACGAAGGCCTCAAAGAAGTCCAAATAAGCACCTGCAGACTTTACAAACAGAGTGTTTCCAAACTGCTCTATGAAAAGAAAGGTTAAACTCTGTGAGTTGAAAGCACACATCACAAAGTAGTTGTTGAGAATGATTCTGTGTAGTTTTTATACGAAGATATTTCCTTTTCTGCCCTAGGCCTAGAAGCGCTTGAAATCTGAACTTGCAAATTCCAAAAACAGAGTGTTTCAACTCTGCTCTCTCTAAAGAAAGGTTCAACTCTGTGAGTTGAATACACACAACACAAAGAAGTTACTGAGAATTCTTCTGTCTAGCGTTGTGTGAAGAAATCCTGTTTCCAACGAAGGCCTCAATGAAGTCCAAAAAAGCACTTGCAGGCTTTACAAACAGAGTGTTTCCAAACTGCTCTATGAAAAGAAAGGTTAAACTCTGTGAGTTGAACACACACATCACAAAGAGTTTTCTGAGAATGATTTTGTCTACTTTTAATACGAAGATATATCCTTTTCTATCACTGTCTTCGAAGCGTTTGAAATCTACACTAGCAAATTCCACAAAAAGAGTGTTTCACCTCTGCTCCCTCTAAAGAAAGGTTCAACTCTGTGAGTTGAATACACACAACACCAAGAAGTTACTGAGAATTCTTCTGTCTAGCGTTATATGAAGAAATCCCGTTTCCAACGAAGGCCTCAAAGAGGTCCAAATATCCACTTGCAGACTTTACAAATAGAGTGTTTCCCAACTGCTCTATGAAAAGAAAGGTTAAACTCTGTGAGTTGAAGGCACACATCACAAACTACTTTCTACGAATGACTCTGTGTACTTTTAATACGAAGATGTTTCCATGTCTAAGATTGGCGTGAATTCGCTTGAAATCTCCACTTGCAAATTCCACAAAAAGAGTGTTTCAAAACTGCTCTGAATAAAGGAAGGTTCCACTCTGTGAGTTGAATACACACAACACAAAGGATTTACTGAGAATTCTTCTGTCTAGCAGTAAATGAAAAAATCCCGCTTCCAACGAAGTCCTCAAAGGGGTCCAAGTAATCACTTGCAGACTTTACAGACAGAGTCTTTCCAAACTGCTCTATGAAAAGAAAGGTGGAACTCTGTGAGCTGAACGCACACATAACAAAGCAGTTTCTGAGAATGATTCTGTGTAGTTTTTACACGAAGCTATTTCCATTTCAAAGATTAGCCTCAAATCGCTTGAAATCTCCACTTGCAAATTCCACAGAAAGAGTTTTTCAAAACTGCTCTGTGTAAAGGAAGGTTCAACTCTGTGACTTGAATCCACACAACACAAAGAAGTGACTGAGAATTCTTCTGTCTAGCATTATATGAAGAAATCCCGTTTCCAACGAAGGCCTCAAAGAAGTCCAAATAAGCACCTGCAGACTTTACAAACAGAGTGTTTCCAAACTGCTCTATGAAAAGAAAGGTTAAACTCTGTGAGTTGAACGCACACATCACAAAGTAGTTGTTGAGAATGATTCTGTGTAGTTTTTATACGAAGATATTTCCTTTTCTGCCATAGGCCTAGAAGCGCTTGTAATCTGCACTTGCAAATTCCAAAAACAGAGTGTTACAAATCTGCTCTCTCTAAAGGAAGGTTCAATCTGTGAGTTGAATACAAACAACACAAAGAAGTTACTGAGAATTCTTCTGTCTAGCGTTATATGAAGAAATCCCGTTTCCAACGAAGGCCTCAAAGAGGTCCAAATATCCACTTGCAGACTTTACAAATAGAGTGTTTCCCAACTGCTCTATGAAAAGAAAGGTTAAACTCTGTGAGTTGAAGGCACACATCACAAACTAGTTTCTACGAATGACTCTGTGTACTTTTAATATGAAGATATTTCCATGTCTAAGATTGGCGTCAAATCGCTTGAAATCTCCACTTGCAAATTCCACAAAAAGTGTTTTTCAAAACTGCTCTGAATAAAGGAAGGTTCCACTCTGTGAGTTGAATACACACAACACAAAGGATTTACTGAGAATTCTTCTGTCTAGCAGTAAATGAGAAATCCCGCTTCCAACGAAGGCCTCAAAGGGGTCTAACTAATCACTTGCAGACTTTACAGACAGAGTCTTTCCAAACTGCTGTATGAAGAGAAAGGTGAAACTCTGTGAACTGAACGCACAGATGACAAAGCAGTTTCTGAGAATGCTTCTGTGTAGTTTTTACACGAAGATATTTCCATTTCAAAGATTAGCCTCAAATCGATTGAAATCTCCACTTGCAAACTCCACAGAAAGAATTTTTCAAAACTACTCTGTCTAAAGGAAGGTTCAACTCTGTGACTTGAATACACACAACACAAAGAAGTGACTGAGAATTCTTCTGTCTAGCATTATATGAAGAAATCCCGTTTCCAACGAAGGCCTCAATGAAGTCCAAAAAAGCACTTGCAGGCTTTACAAACAGAGTGTTTCCAAACTGCTCTATGAAAAGAAAGGTTAAACTCTGTGAGTTGAACGCACACATCACAAAGTAGTTGTTGAGAATGATTCTGTGTAGTTTTTATACGAAGATATTTCGTTTTCTGCCATAGGCCTAGGAGCGCTTGAAATCTGCACTTGCAAATTCCAAAAACAGAGTGTTTCAAATCTGCTCTCTCTAAAGGAAGGTTCAAATATGTGAGTTGAATACAAACAACTCAAAGAAGTTACTGAGAATTCTTCTGTCTAGCATTATATGAGGAAATCCCGTTTACAACGAAGGGCTCATAGAGGGACAATTATGCACCTGCAGACTTACAAAGAGTGTATTTCCAAACTGCTCGATTAAAGAAAGGTTAAACTCTGTGAGTTGAACACACACATCACAAAGTGTTTTCTGAGTATGATTTTGTCTACTTTTAATACGAAGATATATCCTTTTCTATCACTGTCTTCGAAGCGTTTGAAATCTGCACTAGCAAATTCTACAAAAAGAGTGTTTCAACTCTGCTCTCTCTCAAGAAAGGTTCAAATCTGTGAGTTGAATACACACAACACAAAGAAGTTACTGAGAATTCTTCTGTCTAGCAGTAAATGAAAAAATCCCGCTTCCAACGAAGTCCTCAAAGGGGTCCAAGTAATCACTTGCAGACTTTACAGACAGAGTCTTTCCAAACTGCTCTATGAAAAGAAAGGTGGAACTCTGTGAGCTGAACGCACACATAACAAAGCAGTTTCTGACAATGATTCTGTGTAGTTTTTACACGAAGCTATTTCCATTTCAAAGATTAGCCTCAAATCGCTTGAAATCTCCACTTGCAAATTCCACAGAAAGAGTTTTTCAAAACTGCTCTGTGTAAAGGAAGGTTCAACTCTGTGACTTGAATACACAAAACACAAAGAAGTGACTGAGAATTCTTCTGTCTAGCATTATATGAAGAAATCCCGTTTCCAACGAAGGCCTCAAAGAAGTCCAAATAAGCACCTGCAGACTTTACAAACAGAGTGTTTCCAAACTGCTCTATGAAAAGAAAGGTTAAACTCTGTGAGTTGAACGCACACATCACAAAGTAGTTGTTGAGAATGATTCTGTGTAGTTTTTATACGAAGATATTTCCTTTTCTGCCATAGGCCTAGAAGCGCTTGTAATCTGCACTTGCAAATTCCGAAAACAGAGTGTTTCAAATCTGCTCTCTCTAAAGGAAGGTTCAAATCTGTGAGTTGAATACAAACAACACAAAGAAGTTACTGAGAATTCTTCTGTCTAGCGTTATATGAAGAAATCCCGTTTCCAACGAAGGCCTCAAAGAGGTCCAAATATCCACTTGCAGACTTTACAAATAGAGTGTTTCCAAACTGCTCTATGAAAAGAAAGGTTAAACTCCGTGAGTTGAAGGCACACATCACAAACTAGTTTCTGCGAATGACTCTGTGTACTTTTAATACGAAGATGTTTCCATGTCTAAGATTGGCGTGAATTCGCTTGAAATCTCCACTTGCAAATTCCACAAAAAGAGTGTTTCAAAACTGCTCTGAATAAAGGAAGGTTCCACTCTGTGAGTTGAATACACACAACACAAAGGATTTACTGAGAATTCTTCTGTCTAGCAGTAAATGAAAAAATCCCGCTTCCAACGAAGTCCTCAAAGGGGTCCAAGTAATCACTTGCAGACTTTACAGACAGAGTCTTTCCAAACTGCTCTATGAAAAGAAAGGTGGAACTCTGTGAGCTGAACGCACACATAACAAAGCAGTTTCTGACAATGATTCTGTGTAGTTTTTACACGAAGATATTTCCATTTCAAAGATTAGCCTCAAATCGCTTGAAATCTCCACTTGCAAATTCCACAGAAAGAATTTTTCAAAACTGCTCTGTCTAAAGGAAGGTTCAACTCTGTGACTTGAATACACACAACACAAAGAAGTGACTGAGAATTCTTCTGTCTAGCATTATATGAAGAAATCCCGTTTCCAACGAAGGCCTCAATGAAGTCCAAAAACGCACTTGCAGGCTTTACAAACAGAGTGTTTCCAAACTGCTCTATGAAAAGAAAGGTTAAACTCTGTGAGTTGAACGCACACATCACAAAGTAGTTGTTGAGAATGATTCTGTGTAGTTTTTATACGAAGATATTTCCTTTTCTGCCATAGGCCTAGAAGCGCTTGCAATCTGCACTTGCAAATTCCAAAAACAGAGTGTTTCAAATCTGCTCTCTCCAAAGGAAGGTTCAAATCTGTGAGTTGAATACAAACAACACAAAGAAGTTACTGAGAATTCTTCTGTCTAGCGTTATATGAAGAAATCCCGTTTCCAATGAAGGCCTCAAAGAGGTCCAAATATCCACTTGCAGACTTTACAAATAGAGTGTTTCCGAACTGCTCTATGAAAAGAAAGGTTAAACTCTGTGAGTTGAAGGCACACATCACAATCTAGTTTCTACGAATGACTCTGTGTACTTTTAATATGAAGATATTTCCATGTCTAAGATTGGAGTCAAATCGCTTGAAATCTCCACTTGCAAATTCCACAAAAAGAGTGTTTCAAAACTGCTCTGAATAAAGGAAGGTTCCACTCTGTGAGTTGAATAAACACAACATAAAGGATTTACTGAGAATTCTTCTGTCTAGCAGTAAATGAAAAAATCCCGCTTCCAACGAAGTCCTCAAAGGGGTCCAAGTAATCACTTGCAGACTTTACAGACAGAGTCTTTCCAAACTGCTCTATGAAAAGAAAGGTGGAACTCTGTGAGCTGAACGCACACATAACAAAGCAGTTTCTGACAATGATTTCTGTGTAGTTTTTACACGAAGATATTTCCATTTCAAAGATTAGCCTCAAATCGCTTGAAATCTCCACTTGCAAATTACACAGAAAGAATTTTTCAAAACTGCTCTGTCTAAAGGAAGGTTCAACTCTGTGACTTGAATACACACAACACAAAGAAGTGACTGAGAATTCTTCTGTCTAGCATTATATGAGGAAATCCCGTTTCCAACGAAGGGCTCATAGAGGGACAATTATCCAGCTGCAGACTTACAAAGAGTGTATTTCCAAACTGCTCGATTAAAGAAAGGTTAAACTCTGTGAGTTGAACACACACATCACAAAGTGTTTTCTGAGAATGATTTTGTCTAGTTTTAATACGAAGATATATCCTTTTCTATCACTGTCTTCGAAGCGTTTGAAATCTGCACTAGCAAATTCCACAAACAGAGTGTTTCAACTCTGCTCTCTCTCAAGAAAGGTTCAACTACTGTGAGTGGAATACACACAACACAAAGAAGTTACTGAGAATTCTTCTGTCTAGCGTTATATGAAGAAATCCCGTTTCCAACGAAGGCCTCAAAGAGGTCCAAATATCCACTTGCAGACTTTACAAATAGAGTGTTTCCCAACTGCTCTATGAAAAGAAAGGTTAAACTCTGTGAGTTGAAGGCACACATCACAAACTAGTTTCTACGAATGACTCTGTGTACTTTTAATATGAAGATATTTCCATGTCTAAGATTGGCGTCAAATCGCTTGAAATCTCCACTTGCAAATTCCACAAAAAGAGTGTTTCAAAACTGCTCTGAATAAAGGAAGGTTCCAATCTGTAAGTTGAATACACACAACACAAAGGATTTACTGAGAATTCTTCTGTCTAGCAGTAAATGAAAAAATCCCGCTTCCAACGAAGTCCTCAAAGGGGTCCAAGTAATCACTTGCAGACTTTACAGACAGAGTCTTTCCAAACTGCTCTATGAAAAGAAAGGTGGAACTCTGTGAGCTGAACGCACACATAACAAAGCAGTTTCTGAGAATGATTCTGTGTAGTTTTTACACGAAGATATTTCCATTTCAAAGATTAGCCTCAAATCGCTTGAAATCTCCACTTGCAAATTCCACAGGAAGAGTTTTTCAAAACTGCTCTGTGTAAAGGAAGGTTCAACTCTGTGACTTGAATACACACAACACAAAGAAGTGACTGAGAATTCTTCTGTCTAGCATTATATGAAGAAATCCCGTTTCCAACGAAGGCCTCAATGAAGTCCAAAAAAGCACTTGCAGGCTTTACAAACAGAGTGTTTCCAAACTGCTCTATGAAAAGAAAGGTTAAACTCTGTGAGTTGAACGCACACATCACAAAGTAGTTGTTGAGAATGATTCTGTGTAGTTTTTATACGAAGATATTTCCTTTTCTGCCATAGGCCTAGAATCGCTTGAAATCTGCACTTGCAAATTCCAAAAACAGAGTGTTTCAACTCTGCTCTCTCTAAAGAAAGGTTCAACTCTGTGAGTTGAATACACACAACACAAAGAAGTTACTGAGAATTCTTCTGTCTAGGGTTATATGAAGAAATCCCGTTTCCAAAGAATGCCTCAAAGAGGTCCAAATATCCACTTGCAGACTTTACAAATAGAGTGTTTCCCAACTGCTCTATGAAAAGAAAGGTTAAACTCTGTGAGTTGAAGGCACACATCACAAACTAGTTTCTATGAATGACTCTGTGTACTTTTAATACGAAGATGTTTCCATGTCTAAGATTGGCGTGAATTCGCTTGAAATCTCCACTTGCAAATTCCACAAAAAGAGTGTTTCAAAACTGCTCTGAATAAAGGAAGGTTCCACTCTGTGAGTTGAATACACACAACACAAAGGATTTACTGAGAATTCTTCTGTCTAGCAGTAAATGAGAAATCCCGCTTCCAACGAAGGCCTCAAAGGGGTCTAACTAATCACTTGCAGACTTTACAGACAGAGTCTTTCCAAACTGCTCTATGAAGAGAAAGGTGAAACTCTGTGAACTGAACGCACAGATGACAAAGCAGTTTCTGAGAATGATTCTGTGTAGTTTTTACACGAAGATATTTCCATTTCAAAGATTAGCCTCAAATCGCTTGACATCTCCACTTGCAAATTACACAGAAAGAGTTTTTCAAAACTGCTCTGTGTAATGGAAGGTTCAACTCTGTGACTTGAATACACACAACACAAAGAAGTGACTGAGAATTCTTCTGTCTAGCATTACATGAAGAAATCCCGTTTCCAACGAAGGCCTCAATGAAGTCCAAATAGCACTTGCAGGCTTTACAAACAGAGTGTTTCCAAACTGGTCTATGAAAAGAAAGGTTAAACTCTGTGAGTTGAACGCACACATCACAAAGTAGTTGTTGAGAATGATTTTGTCTACTTTTAATACGAAGATATATCCTTTTCTATCACTGTCTTCGAAGCGTTTGAAATCTACACTAGCAAATTCCACAAAAAGAGTGTTTCACCTCTGCTCCCTCTAAAGAAAGGTTCAACTCTGTGAGTTGAATACTCACAACACAAAGAAGTTACTGAGAATTCTTCTGTCTAGCATTATATGAAGAAATCCCGTTTCCAACGAAGGCCTCAGAGAGGTCCAAATATCCACTTGCAGACTTTACAAATAGAGTGTTTCCAAACTGCTCTATGAAAAGAAAGGTTAAACTCTGTGAGTTGAAGGCACACATCACAAACAAGATTCTGCGAATGACTCTGTGTACTTTTAATACGAAGATGTTTCCATGTCTAAGATTGGCGTGAATTCGCTTGAAATCTCCACTTGCAAATTCCACAAAAAGAGTGTTTCAAAACTGCTCTGAATAAAGGAAGGTTCCACTCTGTGAGTTGAATACACACAACACAAAGGATTTACTGAGAATTCTTCTGTCTAGCAGTAAATGAAAAAATCCCGCTTCCAACGAAGTCCTCAAAGGGGTCCAAGTAATCACTTGCAGACTTTACAGACAGAGTCTTTCCAAACTGCTCTATGAAAAGAAAGGTGGAACTCTGTGAGCTGAACGCACACATAACAAAGCAGTTTCTGAGAATGATTCTGTGTAGTTTTTACACGAAGATATTTCCATTTCAAAGATTAGCCTCAAATCGCTTGAAATCTCCACTTGCAAATTCCACAGAAAGAGTTTTTCAAAACTGCTCTGTGTAAAGGAAGGTTCAACTCTGTGACTTGAATACACACAACACAAAGAAGTGACTGAGAATTCTTCTGTCTAGCATTATAAGAGGAAATCCCGTTTCCAACGAAGGGCTCATAGAGGGACAATTATCCAGCTGCAGACTTACAAAGAGTGTATTTCCAAACTGCTCGATTAAAGAAAGGTTAAACTCTGTGAGTTGAACACACACATCACAAAGTGTTTTCTGAGAATGATTCTGTGTAGTTTTTATACGAAGATATTTCCTTTTCTGCCATAGGCCTAGAAGCGCTTGAAATCTGCACTTGCAAATTCCAAAAACAGAGTGTTTCAAATCTGCTCTCTCTAAAGGAAGGTTCAAATCTGTGTGTTGAATACAAACAACACAAAGAAGTTACTGAGAATTCTTCTGTCTAGCGTTGTATGAAGAAATCCCGTTTCCAACGAAGGCCTCAAAGAGGTCCAAATATCCACTTGCAGACTTTACAAATAGAGTGTTTCCAAACTGCTCTATGAAAAGAAAGGTTAAACTCTGTGAGTTGAAGGCACACATCACAAACTAGTTTCTACGAATGACTCTGTGTACTTTTAATATGAAGATTTTTCCATGTCTAAGATTGGCGTCAAATCGCTTGAAATCTCCACTTGCAAATTCCACAAAAAGAGTGTTTCAAAACTGCTCTGAATAAAGGAAGGTTCCACTCTGTGAGTTGAATACACACAACACAAAGGATTTACTGAGAATTCTTCTGTCTAGCAGTAAATGAGAAATCCCGCTTCCAACGAAGGCCTCAAAGGGGTCTAACTAATCACTTGCAGACTTTACAGACAGAGTCTTTCCAAACTGCTCTATGAAGAGAAAGGTGAAACTCTGTGAACTGAACGCACAGATGACAAAGCAGTTTCTGAGAATGATTCTGTGTAGTTTTTACACGAAGATATTTCCATTTCAAAGATTAGCCTCAAATCGCTTAAAATCTCCAATTGCAAATTCCACAGAATGAATTTTTCAAAACTGCTCTGTCTAAAAGATGGTTCAACTCTGTGACTTGAATACACACAACACAAAGAAGTGACTGAGAATTCTTCTGTCTAGCATTATATGAAGAAATCCCGTTTCCAACGAAGGCCTCAATGAAGTCCAAGAAAGCACTTGCAGGCTTTACAAACAGAGTGTTTCCAAACTGCTCTATGAAAAGAAAGGTTAAACTCTGTGAGTTGAACGCACACATCACAAAGTAGTTGTTGAGAATGATTTCTGTGTAGTTTTTATACGAAGATATTTCCTTTTCTGCCATAGGCCTAGAAGCGCTTGAAATCTGCACTTGCAAATTCCAAAAACAGAGTGTTTCAAATCTGCTCTCTCTAAAGGAAGGTTCAAATCTGTGTGTTGAATACAAACAACACAAAGAAGTTACTGAGAATTCTTCTGTCTAGCGTTGTATGAAGAAATCCCGTTTCCAACGAAGGCCTCAAAGAGGTCCAAATATCCACTTGCAGACTTTACAAACAGAGTGTTTCCAAACTGCTCTATGAAAAGAAAAGTTAAACTCTGTGAGTTGAAGGCACACATCACAAACTAGTTTCTACGAATGACTCTGTGTACTTTTAATATGAAGATATTTCCATGTCTAAGATTGGCGTCAAATCGCTTGAAATCTCCACTTGCAAATTCCACAAAAAGTGTTTTTCAAAACTGCTCTGAATAAAGGAAGGTTCCACTCTGTGAGTTGAATACACACAACACAAAGGATTTACTGAGAATTCTTCTGTCTAGCAGTAAATGAGAAATCCCGCTTCCAACGAAGGCCTCAAAGGGGTCTAACTAATCACTTGCAGACTTTACAGACAGAGTCTTTCCAAACTGCTCTATGAAGAGAAAGGTGAAACTCTGTGAACTGAACGCACAGATGACAAAGCAGTTTCTGAGAATGATTCTGTGTAGTTTTTACACGAAGATATTTCCATTTCAAAGATTAGCCTCAAATCGCTTGAAATCTCCACTTGCAAATTCCACAGAAAAAATTTTTCAAAACTGCTCTGTCTAAAAGAAGGTTCAACTCTGTGACTTGAATACACACAACACAAAGAAGTGACTGAGAATTCTTCTGTCTAGCATTATATGAAGAAATCCCGTTTCCAACGAAGGCCTCAAAGAAGTCCAAATAAGCACCTGCAGACTTTACAAACAGAGTGTTTCCAAACTGCTCTATGAAAAGAAAGGTTAAACTCTGTGAGTTGAACGCACACATCACAAAGTAGTTGTTGAGAATGATTCTGTGTAGTTTTTATACGAAGATATTTCCTTTTCTGCCATAGGCCTAGAATCGCTTGAAATCTGCAGTTGCAAATTCCAAAAACAGAGTGTTTCAACTCTGCTCTCTCTAAAGAAAGGTTCAACTCTGTGAGTTGAATACACACAACACAAAGAAGTTACTGAGAATTCTTCTGTCTAGCGTTATATGAAGAAATCCCGTTTCCAACGAAGGCCTCAAAGAGGTCCAAATATCCACTTGCAAACTTTAGAAATAGAGTGTTTCTAAACTGCTCTATGAAAAGAAAGGTTAAACTCTGTGAGTTGAAGGCACACTTCACAAACTAGTTTCTAAGAATGACTCTGTGTACTTTTAATATGAAGATATTTCCATGTCTAAGATTGGCGTCAAATCGCTTGAAATCTCCACTTGCAAATTCCACAAAAAGAGTGTTTCAAAACTGCTGTGAATAAAGGAAGGTTCCACTCTGTGAGTTGAATACACACAACACAAAGGATTTACTGAGAATTCTTCTGTCTAGCAGTAAATGAGAAATCCCACTTCCAACGAAGGCCTCAAAGGGGTCTAACTAATCACTTGCAGACTTTACAGACAGAGTCTTTCCAAACTGCTCTATGAAGAGAAAGGTGAAACTCTGTGAACTTGAACGCACAGATGACAAAGCAGTTTCTGAGAATGATTCTGTGTAGTTTTTACACGAAGCTATTTCCATTTCAAAGATTAGCCTCAAATCGCTTGAAATCTCCACTTGCAAATTCCACAGAAAGAGTTTTTCAAAACTGCTCTGTGTAAAGGAAGGTTCAACTCTGTGACTTGAATACACACAACACAAAGAAGTGACTGAGAATTCTTCTGTCTAACATTATATGAGGAAATCCCGTTTCCAACGAAGGGCTCAAAGAGGGCCAATTATCCACCTGCAGACTTACAAAGAGTGTATTTCCAAACTGCTCGATTAAAGAAAGGTTAAACACTGTGCGTTGAACACACACATCACAAAGTGTTTTCTGAGAATGATTTTGTCTAGTTTTAATACGAAGATATATCCTTTTCTATCACTGTCTTCGAAGCGTTTGAAATCTGCACTAGCAAATTCCACAAAAAGAGTGTTTCAACTCTGCTCTCTCTAAAGAAAGGTTCAACTCTGTGAGTTGAATACACACAACACAAAGAAGTTACTGAGAATTCTTCTGTCTAGCGTTATATGAAGAAATCCCGTTTCCAACGAAGGCCTCAAAGAGGTCCAAATATCGACTTGCAGACTTTACAAATAGAGTGTTTCCGAACTGCTCTATGAAAATAAAGGTTAAACTCTGTGAGTTGAAGGCACACATCACAAACTAGTTTCTACGAATGACTCTGTGTACTTTTAATATGAAGATATTTCCATGTCTATGATTGGCGTCAAATCGCTTGAAATCTCCACTTGCAAATTCCACAAAAAGAGTGTTTCAAAACTGCTCTGAATAAAGGAAGGTTCCACTCTGTGAGTTGAATACACACAACACAAAGGATTTACTGAGAATTCTTCTGTCTAGCATTATATGAAGAAATCCCCTTTCCAACGAAGGCCTCAATGAAGTCCAAAAAAGCAATTGCAGGCTTTACAAACAGAGGGTTTCCAAACTGCTCTATGAAAAGAAAGGTTAAACTTTGTGAGTTGAAACCACACATCACAAAGTAGTTGTTGAGAATGATTCTGTGTAGTTTTTATACGAAGATATTTCCTTTTCTGCCATAGGCCTAGAACCGCTTGAAATCTGCACTTGCTAATTCCAAAAACAGAGTGTTTCAACTCTGCTCTCTCTAAAGGAAGGTTCAACTCTGTGAGTTGAATACACACAACACAAAGAAGTTACTGAGAATTCTTCTGTCTAGCATTATATGAAGAAATCCCGTTTCCAACGAAGGCCTCAAAGAAGTCCAAATAAGCACCTGCAGACTTTACAAACAGAGTGTTTCCAAACTGCTCTATGAAAAGAAAGGTTAAACTCTGTGAGTTGAACGCACACATCACAAAGTAGTTGTTGAGAATGATTCTGTGTAGTTTTTATACGAAGATATTTCCTTTTCTGCCATAGGCCTAGAATCCCTTGAAATCTGCACTTCCAAATTCCAAAAACAGAGTGTTTCAACTCTGCTCTCTCTAAAGAAAGATTCAACTCTGTGAGTTGAATACACACAACACAAAGAAGTTACTGAGAATTCTTCTGTCTAGCGTTATATGAAGAAATCCCGTTTCCAACGAAGGCCTCAAAGAGGTCCAAATATCCACTTGCAGACTTTACAAATAGAGTGTTTCCAAACTGCTCTATGAAAAGAAAGGTTAAACTCCGTGAGTTGAAGGCACACATCACAAACTAGTTTCTGCGAATGACTCTGTGTACTTTTAATATGAAGATATTTCCATGTCTAAGATTGGCGTCAAATCGCTTGAAATCTCCACTTGCAAATTCCACAAAAAGAGTGTTTCAAAACTGCTCTGAATAAAGGAAGGTTCCACTCTGTGAGTTGAATACACACAACACAAAGGATTTACTGAGAATTCTTCTGTCTAGCAGTAAATGAAAAAATCCCGCTTCCAACGAAGTCCTCAAAGGGGTCCAAGTAATCACTTGCAGACTTTACAGACAGAGTCTTTCCAAACTGCTCTATGAAAAGAAAGGTGGAACTCTGCGAGCTGAACGCACACATAACAAAGCAGTTTCTGAGAATGATTCTGTGTAGTTTTTACACGAAGATATTTCCATTTCAAAGATTAGCCTCAAATCGCTTGAAATCTCCACTTGCAAACTCCACAGAAAGAATTTTTCAAAACTGCTCTGTCTAAAGGAAGGTTCAACTCTGTGACTTGAATACACACAACACAAAGAAGTGACTGAGAATTCTTCTGTCTAGCATTATATGAGGAAATCCCGTTTCCAACGAAGGGCTCAAAGAGGGCCAATTATCCACCTGCAGACTTACAAAGAGTGTATTTCCAAACTGCTCGATTAAAGAAAGGTTAAACTCTGTGAGTTGAACACACACATCACAAAGTGTTTTCTGAGAATGATTTTGTCTAGTTTTAATACGAAGATATATCCTTTTCTATCACTGTCTTCGAAGCGTTTGAAATCTGCACTAGCAAATTCCACAAACAGAGTGTTTCAACTCTGCTCTCTCTCAAGAAAGGTTCAACTCTGTGAGTGGAATACACACAACACAAAGAAGTTACTGAGAATTCTTCTGTCTAGCGTTATATGAAGAAATCCCGTTTCCAACGAAGGCCTCAAAGAGGTCCAAATATCCACTTGCAGACTTTACAAATAGAGTGTTTCCAAACTGCTCTATGAAAAGAAAGGTTAAACTCCGTGAGTTGAAGGCACACATCACAAACTAGTTTCTGCGAATGACTCTGTGTACTTTTAATACGAAGATGTTTCCATGTCTAAGATTGGCGTGAATTCGCTTGAAATCTCCACTTGCAAATTCCACAAAAAGAGTGTTTCAAAACTGCTCAGAATAAAGGAAGGTTCCACTCTGTGAGTTGAATACACACAACACAAAGGATTTACTGAGAATTCTTCTGTCTGGCAGTAAATGAAAAAATCCCGCTTCCAACGAAGTCCTCAAAGGGGTCCAAGTAATCACTTGCAGACTTTACAGACAGAGTCTTTCCAAACTGCTCTATGAAAAGAAAGGTGGAACTCTGTGAGCTGAACGCACACATAACAAAGCAGTTTCTGAGAATGATTCTGTGTAGTTTTTACACGAAGATATTTCCATTTCAAAGATTAGCCTCAAATCGCTTGAAATCTCCACTTGCAAACTCCACAGAAAGAATTTTTCAAAACTGCTCTGTCTAAAGGAAGGTTCAACTCTGTGACTTGAATACACACAACACAAAGAAGTGACTGAGAATTCTTCTGTCTAGCATTACATGAAGAAATCCCGTTTCCAACGAAGGCCTCAAAGAAGTCCAAATAAGCACCTGCAGACTTTACAAACAGAGTGTTTCCAAACTGCTCTATGAAAAGAAAGGTTAAACTCTGTGAGTTGAACGCACACATCACAAAGTAGTTGTTGAGAATGATTCTGTGTAGTTTTTATACGAAGATATTTCCTTTGCTGCCATAGGCCTAGAAGCGCTTGAAATTTGCACTTGCAAATTCCAAAAACAGAGTGTTTCAAATCTGCTCTCTCTAAAGGAAGGTTCAAATCTGTGTGTTGAATACAAACAACACAAAGAAGTTACTGAGAATTCTTCTGTCTAGCGTTATATGAAGAAATCCCGTTTCCAACGAAGGCCTCAAAGAGGTCCAAATATCCACTTGCAGACTTTACAAATAGAGTGTTTCCAAACTGCTCTATGAAAAGAAAGGTTAAACTCCGTGAGTTGAAGGCACACATCACAAACTAGTTTCTGCGAATGACTCTGTGTACTTTTAATATGAAGATATTTCCATGTCTAAGATTGGCGTCAAATCGCTTGAAATCTCCACTTGCAAATTCCACAAAAAGAGTGTTTCAAAACTGCTCTGAATAAAGGAAGGTTCCACTCTGTGAGTTGAATACACACAACACAAAGGATTTACTGAGAATTCTTCTGTCTAGCAGTAAATGAGAAATCCCGCTTCCAACGAAGGCCTCAAAGGGGTCTAACTAATCACTTGCAGACTTTACAGACAGAGTCTTTCCAAACTGCTCTATGAAGAGAAAGGTGAAACTCTGTGAACTGAACGCACAGATGACAAAGCAGTTTCTGAGAATGATTCTGTGTAGTTTTTACACGAAGCTATTTCCATTTCAAAGATTAGCCTCAAATCGCTTGAAATCTCCACTTGCAAATTCCACAGAAAGAGTTTTTCAAAACTGCTCTGTGTAAAGGAAGGTTCAACTCTGTGACTTGAATACACACAACACAAAGAAGTGACTGAGAATTCTTCTGTCTAGCATTATATGAAGAAATCCCGTTTCCAACGAAGGCCTCAAAGAAGTCCAAATAAGCACCTGCAGACTTTACAAACAGAGTGTTTCCAAACTGCTCTATGAAAAGAAATGTTAAGCTCTGTGAGGTGAACGCACACATCAAAAAGTAGTTGTTGAGAATGATTCTGTGCAGTTTTTATACGAAGATATTTCCTTTTCTGCCATAGGCCTAGAATCGCTTGATATCTGCACTTGCAAATTCCAAAAACAGAGTGTTTCAACTCTGCTCTCTCTAAAGAAAGGTTCAACTCTGTGAGTTGAATACACACAACACAAAGAAGTTACTGAGAATTGTTCTGTCTGGCGTTGTATGAAGAAATACCGTTTCCAACGAAGGCCTCAAAGAGGTCCAAATATCCACTTGCAGACTTTACAAATAGAGTGTTTCCAAACTGCTCTATGAAAAGAAAGGTTAAACTCTGTGAGTTGAAGGCACACATCACAAACTAGTTTCTACGGATGACTCTGTGTACTTTTAATATGAAGATATTTCCATGTCTAAGATTGGCGTCAAATCGCTTGAAATCTCCACTTGCAAATTCCACAAAAAGAGTGTTTCAAAACTGCTCTGAATAAAGGAAGGTTCCACTCTGTGAGTTGAATAAACGCAACACAAATGATTTACTGAGAATTCTTCTGTCTAGCAGTAAATGAAAAAATCCCGCTTCCAACGAAGTCCTCAAAGGGGTCCAAGTAATCACTTGCAGACTTTACAGACAGAGTCTTTCCAAACTGCTCTATGAAAAGAAAGGTGGAACTCTGTGAGCTGAACGCACACATAACAAAGCAGTTTCTGAGAATGATTCTGTGTAGTTTTTACACGAAGATATTTCCATTTCAAAGATTAGCCTCAAATCGCTTGAAATCTCCACTTGCAAACTCCACAGAAAGAATTTTTCAAAACTGCTCTGTCTAAAGGAAGGTTCAACTCTGTGACTTGAATACACACAACACAAAGAAGTGACTGAGAATTCTTCTGTCTAGCATTATATGAGGAAATCCCGTTTCCAACGAAGGGCTCAAAGAGGGCCAAATATCCACCTGCAGACTTACAAAGAGTGTATTTCCAAACTGCTCGATTAAAGAAAGGTTAAACTCTGTGAGTTGAACACACACATCACAAAGAGTTTTCTGAGAATGATTCTGTGTCGTTTTTATACGAAGATATTTCCTTTTCTGCCATAGGCCTAGAATCGCTTGAAATCTGCAGTTGCAAATTCCAAAAACAGAGTGTTTCAACTCTGCTCTCTCTAAAGAAAGATTCAACTCTGTGAGTTGAATACACACAACACAAAGAAGTTACTGAGAATTCTTCTGTCTAGCGTTATATGAAGAAATCCCGTTTCCAACGAAGGCCTCAAAGAGGTCCAAATATCCACTTGCAGACTTTACAAATAGAGTGTTTCCAAACTGCTCTATGAAAAGAAAGCTTAAACTCTGTGAGTTGAAGGCACACATCACAAACTAGTTTCTGCGAATGACTCTGTGTACTTTTAATATGAAGATATTTCCATGTCTAAGATTGGCGTCAAATCGCTTGAAATCTCCACTTGCAAATTCCACAAAAAGTGTTTTTCAAAACTGCTCTGAATAAAGGAAGGTTCCACTCTGTGAGTTGAATACACACAACACAAAGGATTTACTGAGAATTCTTCTGTCTAGCAGTAAATGAAAAAATCCCGCTTCCAACGAAGTCCTCAAAGGGGTCCAAGTAATCACTTGCAGACTTTACAGACAGAGTCTTTCCAAACTGCTCTATGAAAAGAAAGGTGGAACTCTGTGAGCTGAACGCACACATAACAAAGCAGTTTCTGAGAATGATTCTGTGTAGTTTTTACACGAAGATGTTTCCATTTCAAAGATTAGCCTCAAATCGCTTGAAATCTCCACTTGCAAATTCCACAGGAAGAGTTTTTCAAAACTGCTCTGTGTAAACGAAGGTTCAACTCTGTGACTTGAATACACACAACACAAAGAAGTGACTGAGAATTCTTCTGTCTAGCATTATATGAGGAAATCCCGTTTCCAACGAAGGGCTCATAGAGGGACAATTATCCACCTGCAGACTTACAAAGAGTGTATTTCCAAACTGCTCGATTACAGAAAGGTTAAACTCTGTGAGTTGAACACACACATCACAAAGTGTTTTCTGAGAATGATTCTGTGTAGTTTTTATACGAAGATATTTCCTTTGCTGCCATAGGCCTAGAAGCGCTTGAAATTTGCACTTGCAAATTCCAAAAACAGAGTGTTTCAAATCTGCTCTCTCTAAAGGAAGGTTCAAATCTGTGTGTTGAATACAAACAACACAAAGAAGTTACTGAGAATTCTTCTGTCTAGCGTTATATGAAGAAATCCCGTTTCCAACGAAGGCCTCAAAGAGGTCCAAATATCCACTTGCAGACTTTACAAATAGAGTGTTTCCAAACTGCTCTATGAAAAGAAAGGTTAAACTCTGTGAGTTGAAGGCACACATCACAAACTAGTTTCTGCGAATGACTCTGTGTACTTTTAATACGAAGATGTTTCCATGTCTAAGATTGGCGTGAATTCGCTTGAAATCTCCACTTGCAAATTCCACAAAAAGAGTGTTTCAAAACTGCTCTGAATAAAGGAAGGTTCCACTCTGTGAGTTGAATACACACAACACAAAGGATTTACTGAGAATTCTTCTGTCTAGCAGTAAATGAAAAAATCCCGCTTCCAACGAAGTCCTCAAAGGGGACCAAGTAATCACTTGCAGACTTTACAGACAGAGTCTTTCCAAACTGCTCTATGAAAAGAAAGGTGGAACTCTGTGAGCTGAACGCACACATAACAAAGCAGTTTCTGAGAATGATTCTGTGTAGTTTTTACACGAAGCTATTTCCATTTCAAAGATTAGCCTCAAATCGCTTGAAATCTCCACTTGCAAATTCCACAGAAAGAGTTTTTCAAAACTGCTCTGTGTAAAGGAAGGTTCAACTCTGTGACTTGAATACACACAACACAAAGAAGTGACTGAGAATTCTTCTGTCTAGCATTATATGAAGAAATCCCGTTTCCAACGAAGGCCTCAAAGAAGTCCAAATAAGCACCTGCAGACTTTACAAACAGAGTGTTTCCAAACTGCTCTATGAAAAGAAAGGTTAAACTCTGTGAGTTGAACGCACACATCACAAAGTAGTTGTTGAGAATGATTCTGTGTAGTTTTTATACGAAGATATTTCCTTTTCTGCCATAGGACTAGAAGCGCTTGCAATCTGCACTTGCAAATTCCAAAAACAGAGTGTTTCAAATCTGCTCTCTCCAAAGGAAGGTTCAAATCTGTGAGTTGAATACAAACAACACAAAGAAGTTACTGAGAATTCTTCTGTCTAGCGTTATATGAAGAAATCCCGTTTCCAACGAAGGCCTCAAAGAGGTCCAAATATCCACTTGCAGACTTTACAAATAGAGTGTTTCCCAACTGCTCTATGAAAAGAAAGGTTAAACTCTGTGAGTTGAAGGCACACATCACAAACTAGTTTCTACGAATGACTCTGTGTACTTTTAATATGAAGATATTTCCATGTCTAAGATTGGCGTCAAATCGCTTGAAATCTCCACTTGCAAATTCCACAAAAAGAGTGTTTCAAAACTGCTCTGAATAAAGGAAGGTTCCACTCTGTGAGTTGAATACACACAACACAAAGGATTTACTGAGAATTCTTCTGTCTAGCAGTAAATGAGAAATCCCGTTTCCAACGAAGGTCTCAAAGGGGTCTAACTAATCACTTGCAGACTTTACAGACAGAGTCTTTCCAAACTGCTCTATGAAGAGAAAGGTGAAACTCTGTGAACTGAACGCACAGATGACAAAGCAGTTTCTGAGAATGATTCTGTGTAGTTTTTACACGAAGATATTTCCATTTCAAAGATTAGCCTCAAATCGCTTGAAATCTCCACTTGCAAATTCCACAGAAAGAGTTTTTCAAAACTGCTCTGTGTAAAGGAAGGTTCAACTCTGTGACTTGAATACACACAACACAAAGAAGTGACTGAGAATTCTTCTGTCTAGCATTATATGAAGAAATCCCGTTTCCAACGAAGGCCTCAATGAAGTCCAAAAAAGCACTTGCAGGCTTTACAAACAGAGTGTTTCCAAACTGCTCTATGAAAAGAAAGGTTAAACTCTGTGAGTTGAACGCACACATCACAAAGTAGTTGTTGAGAATGATTCTGTGTAGTTTTTATACGAAGATATTTCCTTTTCTGCCATAGGCCTAGAAGCGCTTGTAATCTGCACTTGCAAATTCCAAAAACAGAGTGTTTCAAATCTGCTCTCTCTAAAGGAAGGTTCAAATCTGTGAGTTGAATACAAACAACACAAAGAAGTTACTGAGAATTCTTCTGTCTAGCGTTATATGAAGAAATCCCGTTTCCAACGAAGGCCTCAAAGAGGTCCAAATATCCACTTGCAGACTTTACAAATAGAGTGTTTCCAAACTGCTCTATGAAAAGAAAGGTTAAACTCTGTGAGTTGAAGGCACACATCACAAACTAGTTTCTGCGAATGACTCTGTGTACTTTTAATACGAAGATGTTTCCATGTCTAAGATTGGCGTGAATTCGCTTGAAATCTCCACTTGCAATTTCCACAAAAAGAGTGTTTCAAAACTGCTCTGAATAAAGGAAGGTTCCACTCTGTGAGTTGAATACACACAACACAAAGGATTTACTGAGAATTCTTCTGTCTAGCAGTAAATGAGAAATCCCGCTTCCAACGAAGGCCTCAAAGGGGTCTAACTAATCACTTGCAGACTTTACAGACAGAGTCTTTCCAAACTGCTCTATGAAGAGAAAGGTGAAACTCTGTGAACTGAACGCACAGATGACAAAGCAGTTTCTGAGAATGATTCTGTGTAGTTTTTACACGAAGCTATTTCCATTTCAAAGATTAGCCTCAAATCGCTTGAAATCTCCACTTGCAAATTCCACAGAAAGAGTTTTTCAAAACTGCTCTGTGTAAAGGAAGGTTCAACTCTGTTACTTGAATACACACAACACAAAGAAGTGACTGAGAATTCTTCTGTCTAGCATTATATGAAGAAATCCCGTTTCCAACGAAGGCCTCAATGAAGTCCAAAAAAGCACTTGCAGGCTTTACAAACAGAGTGTTTCCAAACTGCTCTATGAAAAGAAAGGTTAAACTCTGTGAGTTGAACGCACACATCACAAAGTAGTTGTTGAGAATGATTCTGTGTAGTTTTTATACGAAGATATTTCCTTTTCTGCCATAGGCCTAGAAGCGCTTGTAATCTGCACTTGCAAATTCCAAAAACAGAGTGTTTCAAATCTGCTCTCTCTAAAGGAAGGTTCAAATCTGTGAGTTGAATACAAACAACACAAAGAAGTTACTGAGAATTCTTCTGTCTAGCGTTATATGAAGAAATCCCGTTTCCAACGAAGGCCTCAAAGAGGTCCAAATATCCACTTGCAGACTTTACAAATAGAGTGTTTCCAAACTGCTCTATGAAAAGAAAGGTTAAACTCCGTGAGTTGAAGGCACACATCACAAACTAGTTTCTGCGAATGACTCTGTGTACTTTTAATACGAAGATGTTTCCATGTCTAAGATTGGCGTGAATTCGCTTGAAATCTCCACTTGCAAATTCCACAAAAAGAGTGTTTCAAAACTGCTCTGAATAAAGGAAGGTTCCACTCTGTGAGTTGAATACACACAACACAAAGGATTTACTGAGAATTCTTCTGTCTAGCAGTAAATGAAAAAATCCCGCTTCCAACGAAGTCCTCAAAGGGGTCCAAGTAATCACTTGCAGACTTTACAGACAGAGTCTTTCCAAACTGCTCTATGAAAAGAAAGGTGGAACTCTGTGAGCTGAACGCACACATAACAAAGCAGTTTCTGAGAATGATTTCTGTGTGGTTTTTACACGAAGCTATTTCCATTTCAAAGATTAGCCTCAAATCGCTTGAAATCTCCACTTGCAAATTCCACAGAAAGAGTTTTTCAAAACTGCTCTGTGTAAAGGAAGGTTCAACTCTGTGACTTGAATACACACAACACAAAGAAGTGACTGAGAATTCTTCTGTCTAGCGTTGTATGAAGATATCCCGTTTCCAACGAAGGCCTCAATGAAGTCCAAAAAAGCACTTGCAGGCTTTACAAACAGAGTGTTTCCAAACTGCTCTATGAAAAGAAAGGTTAAACTCTGTGAGTTGAACGCACACATCACAAAGTAGTTGTTGAGAATGATTCTGTGTAGTTTTTATACGAAGATATTTCCTTTTCTGCCATAGGCCTAGAAGCGCTTGAAATCTGCACTTGCAAATTCCAAAAACAGAGTGTTTCAAATCTGCTCTCTCTAAAGGAAGGTTCAAATCTGTGTGTTGAATACAAACAACACAAAGAAGTTACTGAGAATTCTTCTGTCTAGCGTTATATGAAGAAATCCCGTTTCCAACGAAGGCCTCAAAGAGGTCCAAATATCCACTTGCAGACTTTACAAATAGAGTGTTTCCAAACTGCTCTATGAAAAGAAAGGTTAAACTCTGTGAGTTGAAGGCACACATCACAAAGTAGTTTCTGCGAATGACTCTGTGTACTTTTAATATGAAGATATTTCCATGTCTAAGATTGGCGTCAAATCGCTTGAAATCTCCACTTGGAAATTCCACAAAAAGTGTTTTTCAAAACTGCTCTGAATAAAGGAAGGTTCCACTCTGTGAGTTGAATACACACAACACAAAGGATTTACTGAGAATTCTTCTGTCTAGCAGTAAATGAGAAATCCCGCTTCCAACGAAGGCCTCAAAGGGGTCTAACTAATCACTTGCGGACTTTACAGACAGAGTCTTTCCAAACTGCTCTATGAAGAGAAAGGTGAAACTCTGTGAACTGAACGCACAGGTGACAAAGCAGTTTCTGAGAATGATTCTGTGTAGTTTTTACACGAAGATATTTCCATTTCAAAGATTAGCCTCAAATCGCTTGAAATCTCCACTTGCAAACTCCACAGAAAGAATTTTTCAAAACTGCTCTGTCTAAAGGAAGGTTCAACTCTGTGACCTGAATACACACAACACAAAGAAGTGACTGAGAATTCTTCTGTCTAGCATTATATGAAGAAATCCCGTTTCCAACGAAGGCCTCAAAGAAGTCCAAATAAGCACCTGCAGACTTTACAAACAGAGTGTTTCCAAACTGCTCTATGAAAAGAAAGGTTAAACTCTGTGAGCTGAACGCACACATCACAAAGTAGTTGTTGAGAATGATTTTGTCTAGTTTTAATACGAAGATATATCCTTTTCTATCACTGTCTTCGAAGCGTTTGAAATCTGCACTAGCAAATTCCACAAACAGAGTGTTTCAACTCTGCTCTCTCTCAAGAAAGGTTCAACTCTGTGAGTGGAATACACACAACACAAAGAAGTTACTGAGAATTCTTCTGTCTAGCGTTATATGAAGAAATCCCGTTTCCAACGAAGGCCTCAAAGAGGTCCAAATATCCACTTGCAGACTTTACAAATAGAGTGTTTCCAAACTGCTCTATGAAAAGAAAGGTTAAACTCCGTGAGTTGAAGGCACACATCACAAACTAGTTTCTGCGAATGACTCTGTGTACTTTTAATACGAAGATGTTTCCATGTCTAAGATTGGCGTGAATTCGCTTGAAATCTCCACTTGCAAATTCCACAAAAAGAGTGTTTCAAAACTGCTCTGAATAAAGGAAGGTTCCACTCTGTGAGTTGAGTACACACAACACAAAGGATTTACTGAGAATTCTTCTGTCTGGCAGTAAATGAAAAAATCCCGCTTCCAACGAAGTCCTCAAAGGGGTCCAAGTAATCACTTGCAGACTTTACAGACAGAGTCTTTCCAAACTGCTCTATGAAAAGAAAGGTGGAACTCTGTGAGCTGAACGCACACATAACAAAGCAGTTTCTGAGAATGATTCTGTGTAGTTTTTACACGAAGATATTTCCATTTCAAAGATTAGCCTCAAATCGCTTGAAATCTCCAGTTGCAAATTCCACAGAAAGAGTTTTTCAAAACTGCTCTGTGTAAAGGAAGGTTCAACTCTGTGACTTGAATACACACAACACAAAGAAGTGACTGAGAATTCTTCTGTCTAGCATTATATGAAGAAATCCCGTTTCCAACGAAGGCCTCAAAGAAGTCCAAATAAGCACCTGCAGACTTTACAAACAGAGTGTTTCCAAACTGCTCTATGAAAAGAAAGGTTAAACTCTGTGAGTTGAACGCACACATCACAAAGTAGTTGTTGAGAATGATTTTGTCTAGTTTTAATACGAAGATATATCCTTTTCTATCACTGTCTTCGAAGCGTTTGAAATCTGCACTAGCAAATTCCACAGAAAGAGTGTTTCAACTCTGCTCTCTCTCAAGAAAGGTTCAACTCTGTGAGTGGAATACACACAACACAAAGAAGTTACTGAGAATTCTTCTGTCTAGCGTTATATGAAGAAATCCCGTTTCCAACGAAGGCCTCAAAGAGGTCCAAATATCCACTTGCAGACTTTACAAATAGAGTGTTTCCAAAATGCTCTATGAAAAGAAAGGTTAAACTCTGTGAGTTGAAGGCACACATCACAAACTAGTTTCTGCGAATGACTCTGTGTACTTTTAATATGAAGATATTTCCATGTCTAAGATTGGCGTCAAATCGCTTGAAATCTCCACTTGCAAATTCCACAAAAAGTGTTTTTCAAAACTGCTCTGAATAAAGGAAGGTTCCACTCTGTGAGTTGAATACACACAACACAAAGGATTTACTGAGAATTCTTCTGTCTAGCAGTAAATGAAAAAATCCCGCTTCCAACGAAGTCCTCAAAGGGGTCCAAGTAATCACTTGCAGACTTTACAGACAGAGTCTTTCCAAACTGCTCTATGAAAACAAAGGTGGAACTCTGTGAGCTGAACGCACACATAACAAAGCAGTTTCTGAGAATGATTCTGTGTAGTTTTTACACGAAGATATTTCCATTTCAAAGATTAGCCTCAAATCGCTTGAAATCTCCACTTGCAAATTCCACAGAAAGAGTTTTTCAAAACTGCTCTCTGTAAAGGAAGGTTCAACTCTGTGACTTGAATACACACAACACAAAGAAGTGACTGAGAATTCTTCTGTCTAGCATTATATGAAGAAATCCCGTTTCCAACGAAGGCCTCAAAGAAGTCCAAATAAGCACCTGCAGACTTTACAAACAGAGTGTTTCCAAACTGCTCTATGAAAAGAAAGGTTAAACTCTGTGAGTTGAAAGCACACATCACAAAGTAGTTGTTGAGAATGATTCTGTGTAGTTTTTATACGAAGATATTTCCTTTTCTGCCATAGGCCTAGAAGCGCTTGCAATCTGCACTTGCAAATTCCAAAAACAGAGTGTTTCAAATCTGCTCTCTCCAAAGGAAGGTTCAAATCTGTGAGTTGAATACAAACAACACAAAGAAGTTACTGAGAATTCTTCTGTCTAGCGTTATATGAAGAAATCCCGTTTCCAACGAAGGCCTAAAAGAGGTCCAAATATCCACTTGCAGACTTTACAAATAGAGTGTTTCCAAACTGCTCTATGAAAAGAAAGCTTAAACTCTGTGAGTTGAAGGCACACATCACAAACTAGTTTCTGCGAACGACTCTGTGTACTTTTAATACGAAGATGTTTCCATGTCTAAGATTGGCGTGAATTCGCTTGAAATCTCCACTTGCAAATTCCACAAAAAGAGTTTTTCAAAACTGCTCTGTGTAAAGGAAGGTTCAACTCTGTGACTTGAATACACACAACACAAAGAAGTGACTGAGAATTCTTCTGTCTAGCATTATATGAAGAAATCCCGTTTCCAACGAAGGCCTCAAAGAAGTCCAAATAAGCACCTGCAGACTTTACAAACAGAGTGTTTCCAAACTGCTCTATGAAAAGAAAGGTTAAACTCTGTGAGTTGAACGCACACATCACAAAGTAGTTGTTGAGAATGATTCTGTGTAGTTTTTCTACGAAGATATTTCCTTTTCTGCCATAGGCCTAGAATCACTTGAAATCTGCACTTGCAAATTCCAAAAACAGAGTGTTTCAACTCTGTTCTCTCTAAAGAAAGGTTCAACTCTGTGAGTTGAATACACACAACACAAAGAAGTTACTGAGAATTCTTCTGTCTAGTGTTATATGAAGAAATCCCTTTTCCAACGAAGGCCTCAAAGAGGTCCAAATGTCCACTTGCAGACATTACAAATAGAATGTTTCCGAACTGCTCTATGAAAAGAAAGGTTAAACTCTGTGAGTTGAAGGCACACATCACAAACTAGTTTCTACGAATGATTCTGTGTACTTTTAATACGAAGATGTTTCCATGTCTAAGATTGGCGTGAATTCGCTTGAAATCTCCACTTGCAAATTCCACAAAAAGAGTGTTTCAAAACTGCTCTGAATAAAGGAAGGTTCCACTCTGTGAGTTGAATACACACAACACAAAGGATTTACTGAGAATTCTTCTGTCTAGCAGTAAATGAAAAAATCCCGCTTCCAACGAAGTCCTCAAAGGGGTCCAAGTAATCACTTGCAGACTTTACAGACAGAGTCTTTCCAAACTGCTCTATGAAAAGAAAGGTGGAACTCTGTGAGCTGAACGCACACATAACAAAGCAGTTTCTGACAATGATTCTGTGTAGTTTTTACACGAAGATATTTCCATTTCAAAGATTAGCCTCAAATCGCTTGAAATCTCCACTTGCAAACTCCACAGAAAGAATTTTTCAAAACTGCTCTGTCTAAAGGAAGGTTCAACTCTGTGACTTGAATACACACAACACAAAGAAGTGACTGAGAATTCTTCTGTCTAGCATTATATGAGGAAATCCCGTTTCCAACGAAGGGCTCAAAGAGGGCCAAATATCCACCTGCAGACTTACAAAGAGTGTATTTCCAAACTGCTCGATTAAAGAAAGGTTAAACTCTGTGAGTTGAACACACACATCACAAAGAGTTTTCTGAGAATGATTTTGTCTAGTTTTAATACGAAGATATATCCTTTTCTATCACTGTCTTCGAAGCGTTTGAAATCTGCACTAGCAAATTCCACAAACAGAGTGTTTCAACTCTGCTCTCTCTCAAGAAAGGTTCAACTCTGTGAGTGGAATACACACAACACAAAGAAGTTACTGAGAATTCTTCTGTCTAGCGTTATATGAAGAAATCCCGTTTCCAACGAAGGCCTCAAAGAGGTCCAAATATCCACTTGCAGACTTTACAAATAGAGTGTTTCCCAACTGCTCTATGAAAAGAAAGGTTAAACTCTGTGAGTTGAAGGCACACATCACAAACTAGTTTCTACGAATGACTCTGTGTACTTTTAATATGAAGATATTTCCATGTCTAAGATTGGCGTCAAATCGCTTGAAATCTCCACTTGCAAATTCCACAAAAAGTGTTTTTCAAAACTGCTCTGAATAAAGGAAGGTTCCACTCTGTGAGTTGAATACACACAACACAAAGGATTTACTGAGAATTCTTCTGTCTAGCAGTAAATGAGAAATCCCGCTTCCAACGAAGGCCTCAAAGGGGTCTAACTAATCACTTGCAGACTTTACAGACAGAGTCTTTCCAAACTGCTCTATGAAGAGAAAGGTGAAACTCTGTGAACTGAACGCACAGATGACAAAGCAGTTTCTGAGAATGATTCTGTGTAGTTTTTCCACGAAGATATTTCCATTTCAAAGATTAGCCTCAAATCGCTTGAAATCTCCACTTGCAAACTCCACAGAAAGAATTTTTCAAAACTGCTCTGTCTAAAGGAAGGTTCAACTCTGTGACTTGAATACACACAACACAAAGAAGTGACTGAGAATTCTTCTGTCTAGCATTATATGAAGAAATCCCGTTTCCAACGAAGGCCTCAATGAAGTCCAAAAAAGCACTTGCAGGCTTTACAAACAGAGTGTTTCCAAACTGCTCTATGAAAAGAAAGGTTAACCTCTGTGAGTTGAACGCACACATCACAAAGTAGTTGTTGAGAATGATTCTGTGTAGTTTTTATACGAAGATATTTCCTTTTCTGCCATAGGCCTAGAAGCGCTTGCAATCTGCACTTGCAAATTCCAAAAACAGAGTGTTTCAAATCTGCTCTCTCTAAAGGAAGGTTCAAATCTGTGAGTTGAATACAAACAACACAAAGAAGTTACTGAGAATTCTTCTGTCTAGCATTATAAGAGGAAATCCCGTTTCCAACGAAGGGCTCATAGAGGGACAATTATCCAGCTGCAGACTTACAAAGAGTGTATTTCCAAACTGCTCGATTAAAGAAAGGTTAAACTCTGTGAGTTGAACACACACATCACAAAGTGTTTTCCTGAGAATGATTCTGTGTACTTTTAATATGAAGATATTTCCATGTCTAAGATTGGCGTCAAATCGCTTGAAATCTCCACTTGCAAATTCCACAAAAAGAGTGTTTCAAAACTGCTCTGAATAAAAGAAGGTTCCACTCTGTGAGTTGAATACACACAACACAAAGAATTTACTGAGAATTCTTCTGTCTAGCAGTAAATGAAAAAATCCCGCTTCCAACGAAGTCCTCAAAGGGGTCCAAGTAATCACTTGCAGACTTTACAGACAGAGTCTTTCCAAACTGCTCTATGAAAAGAAAGGTGGAACTCTGTGAGCTGAACGCACACATAACAAAGCAGTTTCTGAGAATGATTCTGTGTAGTTTTTACACGAAGATATTTCCATTTCAAAGATTAGCCTCAAATCGCTTGAAATCTCCACTTGCAAACTCCACAGAAAGAATTTTTCAAAACTGCTCTGTCTAAAGGAAGGTTCAACTCTGTGACTTGAATACACACAACACAAAGAAGTGACTGAGAATTCTTCTGTCTAGCATTATAAGAGGAAATCCTGTTTCCAACGAAGGGCTCATAGAGGGACAATTATCCAGCTGCAGACTTACAAAGAGTGTATTTCCAAACTGCTCGATTAAAGAAAGGTTAAACTCTGTGAGTTGAACACACACATCACAAAGTGTTTTCTGAGAATGATTTTGTCTAGTTTTAATACGAAGATATATCCTTTTCTATCACTGTCTTCGAAGCGTTTGAAATCTGCACTAGCAAATTCCACAAACAGAGTGTTTCAACTCTGCTCTCTCTCAAGAAAGGTTCAACTCTGTGAGTGGAATACACACAACACAAAGAAGTTACTGAGAATTCTTCTGTCTAGCATTATATGAAGAAATCCCGTTTCCAACGAAGGCCTCAAAGAAGTCCAAATAAGCACCTGCAGACTTTACAAACAGAGTGTTTCCAAACTGCTCTATGAAAAGAAAGGTTAAACTCTGTGAGTTGAACGCACACATCACAAAGTAGTTGTTGAGAATGATTCTGTGTAGTTTTTATACGAAGATATTTCCTTTTCTGCCATAGGCCTAGAAGCGCTTGAAATCTGCACTTGCAAATTCCAAAAACAGAGTGTTTCAAATCTGCTCTCTCTAAAGGAAGGTTCAAATCTGTGTGTTGAATACAAACAACACAAAGAAGTTACTGAGAATTCTTCTGTCTAGCGTTATATGAAGAAATCCCGTTTCCAACGAAGGCCTCAAAGAGGTCCAAATATCCACTTGCAGACTTTACAAATAGAGTGTTTCCAAACTGCTCTATGAAAAGAAAGGTTAAACTCCGTGAGTTGAAGGCACACATCACAAACTAGTTTCTGCGAATGACTCTGTGTACTTTTAATACGAAGATGTTTCCATGTCTAAGATTGGCGTGAATTCGCTTGAAATCTCCACTTGCAAATTCCACAAAAAGAGTGTTTCAAAACTGCTCTGAATAAAGGAAGGTTCCACTCTGTGAGTTGAATACACACAACACAAAGGATTTACTGAGAATTCTTCTGTCTAGCAGTAAATGAAAAAATCCCGCTTCCAACGAAGTCCTCAAAGGGGTCCAAGTAATCACTTGCAGACTTTACAGACAGAGTCTTTCCAAACTGCTCTATGAAAAGAAAGGTGGAACTCTGTGAGCTGAACGCACACATAACAAAGCAGTTTCTGAGAATGATTCTGTGTAGTTTTTACACGAAGCTATTTCCATTTCAAAGATTAGCCTCAAATCGCTTGAAATCTCCACTTGCAAATTCCACAGAAAGAGTTTTTCAAAACTGCTCTGTGTAAAGGAAGGTTCAACTCTGTGACTTGAATACACACAACACAAAGAAGTGACTGAGAATTCTTTCTGTCTAGCATTACATGAAGAAATCCCGTTTCCAACGAAGGCCTCAAAGAAGTCCAAATAAGCACCTGCAGACTTTACAAACAGAGTGTTTCCAAACTGCTCTATGAAAAGAAAGGTTAAACTCTGTGAGTTGAACGCACACATCACAAAGTAGTTGTTGAGAATGATTTTGTCTACTTTTAATACGAAGATATATCCTTTTCTATCACTGTCTTCGAAGCGTTTGAAATCTACACTAGCAAATTCCACAAAAAGAGTGTTTCACCTCTGCTCCCTCTAAAGAAAGGTTCAACTCTGTGAGTTGAATACACACAACACAAAGAAGTTACTGAGAATTCTTCTGTCTAGCGTTGTATGAAGAAATCCCGTTTCCAACGAAGGCCTCAAAGAGGTCCAAATATCCACTTGCAGACTTTACAAATAGAGTGTTTCCAAACTGCTCTATGAAAAGAAAGGTTAAACTCTGTGAGTTGAAGGCACACATCACAAACTAGTTTCTACGAATGACTCTGTGTACTTTTAATACGAAGATGTTTCCATGTCTAAGATTGGCGTGAATTCGCTTGAAATCTCCACTTGCAAATTCCACAAAAAGAGTGTTTCAAAACTGCTCTGAATAAAGGAAGGTTCCACTCTGTGAGTTGAATACACACAACACAAAGGATTTACTGAGAATTCTTCTGTCTAGCAGTAAATGAAAAAATCCCGCTTCCAACGAAGTCCTCAAAGGGGTCCAAGTAATCACTTGCAGACTTTACAGACAGAGTCTTTCCAAACTGCTCTATGAAAAGAAAGGTGGAACTCTGTGAGTTGAACGCACACATAACAAAGCAGTTTCTGAGAATGATTCTGTGTAGTTTTTACACGAAGATATTTCCATTTCAAAGATTAGCCTCAAATCGCTTGAAATCTCCACTTGCAAATTCCACAGAAAGAGTTTTTCAAAACTGCTCTGTGTAAAGGAAGGTTCAACTCTGTGACTTGAATACACACAACACAAAGAAGTGACTGAGAATTCTTCTGTCTAGCATTATATGAAGAAATCCCGTTTCCAACGAAGGCCTCAAAGAAGTCCAAATAAGCACCTGCAGACTTTACAAACAGAGTGTTTCCAAACTGCTCTATGAAAAGAAAGGTTAAACTCTGTGAGTTGAACGCACACATCACAAAGTAGTTGTTGAGAATGATTCTGTGTAGTTTTTATACGAAGATAATTCCTTTTCTGCCATAGGCCTAGAAGCGCTTGAAATCTGCACTTGCAAATTCCAAAAACAGAGTGTTTCAAATCTGCTCTCTCTAAAGGAAGGTTCAAATCTGTGAGTTGAATACAAACAAAACAAAGAAGTTACTGAGAATTCTTCTGTCTAGCGTTATATGAAGAAATCCCTTTTCCAACGAAGGCCTCAAAGAGGTCCAAATATCCACTTGCAGACTTTACAAATAGAGTGTTTCCGAACAGCTCTATGAAAAGAAAGGTTAAACTCTGTGAGTTGAAGGCACACATCACAAACTAGTTTCTACGAATGATTCTGTGTACTTTTAATACGAAGATGTTTCCATGTCTAAGATTGGCGTGAATTCGCTTGAAATCTCCACTTGCAAATTCCACAAAAAGAGTGTTTCAAAACTGCTCTGAATAAAGGAAGGTTCCACTCTGTGAGTTGAATACACACAACACAAAGGATTTACTGAGAATTCTTCTGTCTAGCAGTAAATGAAAAAATCCCGCTTCCAACGAAGTCCTCAAAGGGGTCCAAGTAATCACTTGCAGACTTTACAGACAGAGTCTTTCCAAACTGCTCTATGAAAAGAAAGGTGGAACTCTGTGAGCTGAACGCACACATAACAAAGCAGTTTCTGACAATGATTCTGTGTAGTTTTTACACGAAGATATTTCCATTTCAAAGATTAGCCTCAAATCGCTTGAAATCTCCACTTGCAAATTCCACAGAAAGAGTTTTTCAAAACTGCTCTGTGTAAAGGAAGGTTCAACTCTGTGACTTGAATACACACAACACAAAGAAGTGACTGAGAATCTCTCTGTCTAGCATTATATGAGGAAATCCCGTTTCCAACGAAGGGCTCATAGAGGGACAATTATCCACCTGCAGACTTACAAAGAGTGTATTTCCAAACTGCTCGATTACAGAAAGGTTAAACTCTGTGAGTTGAACACACACATCACAAAGTGTTTTCTGAGAATGATTTTGTCTAGTTTTAATACGAAGATATATCCTTTTCTATCACTGTCTTCGAAGCGTTTGAAATCTGCACTAGCAAATTCCACAAAAAGAGTGTTTCAACTCTGCTCTCTCTCAAGAAAGGTTCAACTCTGTGAGTTGAATACACACAACACAAAGAAGTTACTGAGAATTCTTCTGTCTAGCGTTATATGAAGAAATCCCGTTTCCAACGAAGGCCTCAAAGTGGTCCAAATATCCACTTGCAGACTTTACAAATAGAGTGTTTCCAAACTGCTCTATGAAAAGAAAGGTTAAACACTGTGAGTTGAAGGCACACATCACAAACTAGTTTCTGCGAATGACTCTGTGTACTTTTAATATGAAGATATTTCCATGTCTAAGATTGGCGTCAAATCGCTTGAAATCTCCACTTGCAAATTCCACAAAAAGAGTGTTTCAAAACTGCTCTGAATAAAGGAAGGTTCCACTCTGTGAGTTGAATACACACAACACAAAGGATTTACTGAGAATTCTTCTTTCTAGCAGTAAATGAAAAAATCCCGCTTCCAACGAAGTCCTCAAAGGGGTCCAAGTAATCACTTGCAGACTTTACAGACAGAGTCTTTCCAAACTGCTCTATGAAAAGAAAGATGGAACTCTGTGAGCTGAACGCACACATAACAAAGCAGTTTCTGAGAATGATTTCTGTGTAGTTTTTACACGAAGCTATTTCCATTTCAAAGATTAGCCTCAAATCGCTTGAAATCTCCACTTGCAAATTCCACAGAAAGAGTTTTTCAAAACTGCTCTGTGTAAAGGAAGGTTCAACTCTGTGACTTGAATACACACAACACAAAGAAGTGACTGAGAATTCTTCTGTCTAGCATTATATGAGGAAATCCCGTTTCCAACGAAGGGCTCAAAGAGGGCCAAATATCCACCTGCAGACTTACAAAGAGTGTATTTCCAAACTGCTCGATTAAAGAAAGGTTAAACTCTGTGAGTTGAACACACACATCACAAAGAGTTTTCTGAGAATGATTTTGTCTAGTTTTAATACGAAGATATATCCTTTTCTATCACTGTCTTCGAAGCGTTTGAAATCTGCACTAGCAAATTCCACAAACAGAGTGTTTCAACTCTGCTCTCTCTCAAGAAAGGTTCAACTCTGTGAGTTGAATACACACAACACAAAGAAGTTACTGAGAATTCTTCTGTCTAGCGTTATATGAAGAAATCCCTTTTCCAACGAAGGCCTCAAAGAGGTCCAAATATCCACTTGCAGACTTTACAAATAGAATGTTTCCGAACTGCTCTATGAAAAGAAAGGTTAAACTCTGTGAGTTGAAGGCACACATCACAAACTAGTTTCTACGAATGATTTCTGTGTACTTTTAATACGAAGATGTTTCCATGTCTAAGATTGGCGTGAATTCGCTTGAAATCTCCACTTGCAAATTCCACAAAAAGAGTGTTTCATAACTGCTCTGAATAAAGGAAGGTTCCACTCTGTGAGTTGAATACACACAACACAAAGGATTTACTGAGAATTCTTCTGTCTAGCAGTAAATGAGAAATCCCGCTTCCAACGAAGGCCTCAAAGGGGTCTAACTAATCACTTGCAGACTTTACAGACAGAGTCTTTCCAAACTGCTCTATGAAGAGAAAGGTGAAACTCTGTGAACTGAACGCACAGATGACAAAGCAGTTTCTGAGAATGATTCTGTGTAGTTTTTACACGAAGATATTTCCATTTCAAAGATTAGCCTCAAATCGCTTGAAATCTCCACTTGCAAATTCCACAGAAAGAGTTTTTCAAAACTGCTCTGTGTAAAGGAAGGTTCAACTCTGTGACTTGAATACACACAACACAAAGAAGTGACTGAGAATTCTTCTGTCTAGCATTATATGAAGAAATCCCGTTTCCAACGAAGGCCTCAATGAAGTCCAAAAAAGCACTTGCAGGCTTTACAAACAGAGTGTTTCATAACTGCTCTATGAAAAGAAAGGTTAAACTCTGTGAGTTGAACGCACACATCACAAAGTAGTTGTTGAGAATGATTCTGTGTAGTTTTTATACGAAGATATTTCCTTTTCTGCCATAGGCCTAGAATCGCTTGAAATCTGCAGTTGCAAATTCCAAAAACAGAGTGTTTCAACTCTGCTCTCTCTAAAGAAAGGTTCAACTCTGTGAGTTGAATACACACAACACAAAGAAGTTACTGAGAATTCTTCTGTCTAGCGTTATATGAAGAAATCCCGTTTCCAACGAAGGCCTCAAAGAGGTCCAAATATCCACTTGCAGACTTTACAAATAGAGTGTTTCCAAACTGCTCTATGAAAACAAAGGTTAAACTCCGTGAGTTGAAGGCACACATCTCAAACTAGTTTCTGCGAATGACTCTGTGTACTTTTAATATGAAGATATTTCCATGTCTAAGATTGGCGTCAAATCGCTTGAAATCTCCACTTGCAAATTCCACAAAAAGTGTTTTTCAAAACTGCTCTGAATAAAGGAAGGTTCCACTCTGTGAGTTGAATACACACAACACAAAGGATTTACTGAGAATTCTTCTGTCTAGCAGTAAATGAAAAAATCCCGCTTCCAACGAAGTCCTCAAAGGGGTCCAAGTAATCACTTGCAGACTTTACAGACAGAGTCTTTCCAAACTGCTCTATGAAAAGAAAGGTGGAACTCTGTGAGCTGAACGCACACATAACAAAGAAGTTTCTGAGAATGATTCTGTGTAGTTTTTACACGAAGATATTTCCATTTCAAAGATTAGCCTCAAATCGCTTGAAATCTCCACTTGCAAATTCCACAGAAAGAGTTTTTCAAAACTGCTCTGTGTAAAGGAAGGTTCAACTCTGTGACTTGAATACACACAACACAAAGAAGTGACTGAGAATTCTTCTGTCTAGCATTATATGAAGAAATCCCGTTTCCAACGAAGGCCTCAATGAAGTCCAAAAAAGCACTTGCAGGGTTTACAAACAGAGTGTTTCCAAACTGCTCTATGAAAAGAAACGTTAAACTCTGTGAGTTGAACGCACACATCACAAAGTAGTTGTTGAGAATGATTCTGTGTAGTTTTTATACGAAGATATTTCCTTTTCTGCCATAGGCCTAGAAGCGCTTGCAATCTGCACTTGCAAATTCCACAAACAGAGTGTTTCAAATCTGCTCTCTCCAAAGGAAGGTTCAAATCTGTGAGTTGAATACAAACAACACAAAGAAGTTACTGAGAATTCTTCTGTCTAGCGTTATATGAAGAAATCCCGTTTCCAACGAAGGCCTCAAAGAGGTCCAAATATCCACTTGCAGACTTTACAAATAGAGTGTTTCCAAACTGCTCTATGAAAAGAAAGGTTAAACTCCGTGAGTTGAAGGCACACATCACAAACTAGTTTCTGCGAATGACTCTGTGTACTTTTAATACGAAGATGTTTCCATGTCTAAGATTGGCGTGAATTCGCTTGAAATCTCCACTTGCAAATTCCACAAAAAGAGTGTTTCAAAAGTGCTCTGAACAAAGGAAGGTTCCACTCCTGTGAGTTGAATACACACAACACAAAGGATTTACTGAGAATTCTTTCTGTCTAGCAGTAAATGAAAAAATCCCGCTTCCAACGAAGTCCTCAAAGGGGTCCAAGTAATCACTTGCAGACTTTGCAGACAGAGTCTTTCCAAACTGCTCTATGAAAAGAAAGGTGGAACTCTGTGAGCTGAACGCACACATAACAAAGCAGTTTCTGAGAATGATTCTGTCTAGTTTTTACACGGAGATATTTCCATTTCAAAGATTGGCCTTAAATCGCATGTAATCTCCACTTCCAAATTCCACAGAAAGAGTTTTTCAAAACTGCTCTGTCTAAATGAAGGTTCAACTCTGTGACTTGAATGCACACAACACAAAGAAGTGACTGAGAATTCTTCTGTCTAGCATTATATGAAGAAATCCCGTTTCCAACGAAGGCCTCAAAGTAAGTCCAAATAAGCACCTGCAGACTTTACAAACAGAGTGTTTCCAAACTGCTCTATGAAAAGAAAGGTTAAACTCTGTGAGTTGAACGCACACATCACAAAGTAGTTGTTGAGAATGATTCTGTGTAGTTTTTATACGAAGATATTTCCTTTTCTGCCATAGGCCTAGAAGCGCTTGCAATCTGCACTTGCAAATTCCAAAAACAGAGTGTTTCAAATCTGCTCTCTCCAAAGGAAGGTTCAAATCTGTGAGTTGAATACAAACAACACAAAGAAGTTACTGAGAGTTCTTCTGTCTAGCGTTATATGAAGAAATCCCGTTTCCAACGAAGGCCTCAAAGAGTTCCAAATATCCACTTGCAGACTTTACAAATAGAGTGTTTCCAAACTGCTCTATGAAAAGAAAGCTTAAACTCTGTGAGTTGAAGGCACACATCACAAACTAGTTTCTGCGAATGACTCTGTGTACTTTTAATACGAAGATGTTTCCATGTCTAAGATTGGCGTGAATTCGCTTGAAATCTCCACCTGCAAATTCCACAAAAAGAGTGTTTCAAAAGTGCTCTGAATAAAGGAAGGTTAAACTCTGTGAGTTGAATACACACAACACAAAGGATTTACTGAGAATTCTTCTGTCTAGCAGTAAATGAAAAAATCCCGCTTCCAACGAAGTCCTCAAAGGGGTCCAAGTAATCACTTGCAGACTTTACAGACAGAGTCTTTCCAAACTGCTCTATGAAAAGAAAGGTGGAACTCTGTGAGCTGAACGCACACATAACAAAGCAGTTTCTGAGAATGATTCTGTGTAGTTTTTACACGAAGATATTTCCATTTCAAAGATTAGCCTCAAATCGCTTGAAATCTCCACTTGCAAATTCCACAGAAAGAATTTTTCAAAACTGCTCTGTCTAAAAGAAGGTTCAACTCTGTGACTTGAATACACACAACACAAAGAAGTGACTGAGAATTCTTCTGTCTAGCATTATATGAGGAAATCCCGTTTCCAACGAAGGGCTCAAAGAGGGCCAAATATCCACCTGCAGACTTACAAAGAGTGTATTTCCAAACTGCTCGATTAAAGAAAGGTTAAACTCTGTGAGTTGAACACACACATCACAAAGAGTTTTCTGAGAATGATTTTGTCTACTTTTAATACGAAGATATATCCTTTTCTATCACTGTCTTCGAAGCGTTTGAAATCTAAACTAGCAAATTCCACAAAAAGAGTGTTTCACCTCTGCTCCCTCTAAAGAAAGGTTCAACTCTGTGAGTTGAATACACACAACACAAAGAAGTTACTGAGAATTCTTCTGTCTAGCGTTATATGAAGAAATCCCGTTTCCAACGAAGGCCTCAAAGAGGTCCAAATATCCACTTGCAGACTTTACAAATAGAGTGTTTCCCAACTGCTCTATGAAAAGAAAGGTTAAACTCTGTGAGTTGAAGGCACACATCACAAACTAGTTTCTACGAATGACTCTGTGTACTTTTAATACGAAGATGTTTCCATGTCTAAGATTGGCGTGAATTCGCTTGAAATCTCCACTTGCAAATTCCACAAAAAGAGTGTTTCAAAAGTGCTCTGAATAAAGGAAGGTTCCACTCTGTGAGTTGAATACACACAACACAAAGGATTTACTGAGAATTCTTCTGTCTAGCAGTAAATGAAAAAATACCGCTTCCAACGAAGTCCTCAAAGGGGTCCAAGTAATCACTTGCAGACTTTACAGACAGAGTCTTTCCAAACTGCTCTATGAAAAGAAAGGTGGAACTCTGTGAGCTGAACGCACACATAACAAAGCAGTTTCTGAGAATGATTCTGTGTAGTTTTTACACGAAGATATTTCCATTTCAAAGATTAGCCTCAAATCGCTTGAAATCTCCACTTGCAAATTCCACAGAAAGAGTTTTTCAAAACTGCTCTGTGTAAAGGAAGGTTCAACTCTGTGACTTGAATACACACAACACAAAGAAGTGACTGAGAATTCTTCTGTCTAGCATTACATGAAGAAATCCCGTTTCCAACGAAGGCCTCAAAGAAGTCCAAATAAGCACCTGCAGACTTTACAAACAGAGTGTTTCCAAACTGCTCTATGAAAAGAAAGGTTAAACTCTGTGAGTTGAACGCACACATCACAAAGTAGTTGTTGAGAATGATTCTGTGTAGTTTTTATACGAAGATATTTCCTTTTCTGCCATAGGCCTAGAATCGCTTGAAATCTGCACTTGCAAATTCCAAAAACAGAGTGTTTCAACTCTGCTCTCTCTAAAGAAAGGTTCAACTCTGTGAGTTGAATACACACAACACAAAGAAGTTACTGAGAATTCTTCTGTCTAGCGTTATATGAAGAAATCCCGTTTCCAACGAAGGCCTCAAAGTGGTCCAAATATCCACTTGCAGACTTTACAAATAGAGTGTTTCCAAACTGCTCTATGAAAAGAAAGGTTAAACTCTGTGAGTTGAAGGCACACATCACAAACTAGTTTCTGCGAATGACTTCTGTGTACTTTTAATACGAAGATGTTTCCATGTCTAAGATTGGCGTGAATTCGCTTGAAATCTCCACTTGCAAATTCCACAAAAAGAGTGTTTCAAAAGTGCTCTGAATAAAGGAAGGTTCCACTCTGTGAGGTGAATACACACAACACAAAGGATTTACTGAGAATTCTTCTGTCTAGCAGTAAATGAAAAAATCCCGCTTCCAACGAAGTCCTCAAAGGGGTCCAAGTAATCAATTGCAGACTTTACAGACAGAGTCTTTCCAAACTGCTCTATGAAAAGAAAGGTGGAACTCTGTGAGCTGAACGCACACATAACAAAGCAGTTTCTGAGAATGATTCTGTGTAGTTTTTACACGAAGATATTTCCATTTCAAAGATTAGCCTCAAATCGCTTGAAATCTCCACTTGCAAATTCCACAGAAAGAGTTTTTCAAAACTGCTCTGTGTAAAGGAAGGTTCAACTCTGTGACTTGAATACACACAACACAAAGAAGTGACTGAGAATTCTTCTGTCTAGCATTATATGAAGAAATCCCGTTTCCAACGAAGGCCTCAAAGAAGTCCAAATAAGCACCTGCAGACTTTACAAACAGAGTGTTTCCAAACTGCTCTATGAAAAGAAAGGTTAAACTCTGTGAGTTGAACGCACACATCACAAAGTAGTTGTTGAGAATGATTTTTTGTCTAGTTTTAATACGAAGATATATCCTTTTCTATCACTGTCTTCGAAGCGTTTGAAATCTGCACTAGCAAATTCCACAAACAGAGTGTTTCAACTCTGCTCTCTCTCAAGAAAGGTTCAACTCTGTGAGTTGAATACACACAACACAAAGAAGTTACTGAGAATTCTTCTGTCTAGCGTTATATGAAGAAATCCCGTTTCCAACGAAGGCCTCAAAGAGGTCCAAATATCCACTTGCAGACTTTACAAAGAGAGTGTTTCCAAACTGCTCTATGAAAAGAAAGGTTAAACTCCGTGAGTTGAAGGCACACATCACAAACTAGTTTCTGCGAATGACTCTGTGTACTTTTAATACGAAGATGTTTCCATGTCTAAGATTGGCGTGAATTCGCTTGAAATCTCCACTTGCAAATTCCACAAAAAGAGTGTTTCAAAACTGCTCTGAATAAAGGAAGGTTCCACTCTGTGAGTTGAATACACACAACACAAAGGATTTACTGAGAATTCTTCTGTCTAGCAGTAAATGAAAAAATCCCGCTTCCAACGAAGTCCTCAAAGGGGTCCAAGTAATCACTTGCAGACTTTACAGACAGAGTCTTTCCAAACTGCTCTATGAAAAGAAAGGTGGAACTCTGTGAGCTGAACGCACACATAACAAAGCAGTTTCTGACAATGATTCTGTGTAGTTTTTACACGAAGATATTTCCATTTCAAAGATTAGCCTCAAATCGCTTGAAATCTCCACTTGCAAATTACACAGAAAGAACTTTTCAAAACTGCTCTGTCTAAAGGAAGGTTCAACTCTGTGACTTGAATACACACAACACAAAGAAGTGACTGAGAATTCTTCTGTCTAGCATTATATGAAGAAATCCCGTTTCCAACGAAGGCCTCAATGAAGTCCAAAAAAGCACTTGCAGGCTTTACAAACAGAGTGTTTCCAAACTGCTCTATGAAAAGAAAGGTTAAACTCTGTGAGTTGAACGCACACATCACAAAGTAGTTGTTGAGAATGATTCTGTGTAGTTTTTATACGAAGATATTTCCTTTTCTGCCATAGGCCTAGAAGCGCTTGAAATCTGCACTTGCAAATTCCAAAAACAGAGTGTTTCAACTCTGCTCTCTCTAAAGGAAGATTCAACTCTGTGAGTTGAATACACACAACACAAAGAAGTTACTGAGAATTCTTCTGTCTAGCGTTATATGAAGAAATCCCGTTTCCAACGAAGGCCTCAAAGAGGTCCAAATATCCACTTGCAGACTTTACAAATAGAGTGTTTCCCAACTGCTCTATGAAAAGAAAGGTTAAACTCTGTGAGTTGAAGGCACACATCACAAACTAGTTTCTACGAATGACTCTGTGTACTTTTAATATGAAGATATTTCCATGTCTAAGATTGGCGTCAAATCGCTTGAAATCTCCACTTGCAAATTCCACAAAAAGAGTGTTTCAAAACTGCTCTGAATAAAGGAAGGTTCCACTCTGTGAGTTGAATACACACAACACAAAGGATTTACTGAGAATTCTTCTGTCTAGCAGTAAATGAGAAATCCCGCTTCCAACGAAGGCCTCAAAGGGGTCTAACTAATCACTTGCAGACTTTACAGACAGAGTCTTTCCAAACTGCTCTATGAAGAGAAAGGTGAAACTCTGTGAACTGAACGCACAGATGACAAAGCAGTTTCTGAGAATGATTCTGTGTAGTTTTTACACGAAGATATTTCCATTTCAAAGATTAGCCTCAAATCGCTTGACATCTCCACTTGCAAATTCCACAGAAAGAGTTTTTCAAAACTGCTCTGTGTAATGGAAGGTTCAACTGCTGTGACTTGAATACACACAACACAAAGAAGTGACTGAGAATTCTTCTGTCTAGCATTATATGAGGAAATCCCGTTTCCAACGAAGGGCTCAAAGAGGGCCAATTATCCACCTGCAGACTTACAAAGAGTGTATTTCCAAACTGCTCGATTAAAGAAAGGTTAAACTCTGTGAGTTGAACACACACATCACAAAGTGTTTTCTGAGAATGATTTTGTCTAGTTTTAATACGAAGATATATCCTTTTCTATCACTGTCTTGGAAGCGTTTGAAATCTGCACTAGCAAATTCCACAAACAGAGTGTTTCCACTCTGCTCTCTCTCAAGAAAGGTTCAACTCTGTGAGTGGAATACACACAACACAAAGAAGTTACTGAGAATTCTTCTGTCTAGCGTTATATGAAGAAATCCCGTTTCCAACGAAGGCCTCAAAGAGGTCCAAATATCCACTTGCAGACTTTACAAATAGAGTGTTTCCAAACTGCTCTATGAAAAGAAAGGTTAAACTCCGTGAGTTGAAGGCACACATCACAAACTAGTTTCTGCGAATGACTCTGTGTACTTTTAATATGAAGATATTTCCATGTCTAAGATTGGCGTCAAATCGCTTGAAATCTCCACTTGCAAATTCCACAAAAAGAGTGTTTCAAAACTGCTCTGAATAAAGGAAGGTTCCACTCTGTGAGTTGAATACACACAACACAAAGGATTTACTGAGAATTCTTCTGTCTAGCAGTAAATGAAAAAATCCCGCTTCCAATGAAGTCCTCAAAGGGGTCCAAGTAATCACTTGCAGACTTTACAGAGTCTTTCCAAACTGCTCTATGAAAAGAAAGGTGGAACTCTGTGAGCTGAACGCACACATAACAAAGCAGTTTCTGACAATGATTCTGTGTAGTTTTTACACGAAGATATTTCCATTTCAAAGATTAGCCTCAAATCGCTTGAAATCTCCACTTGCAAATTCCACAGAAAGAGTTTTTCAAAACTGCTCTGTGTAAAGGAAGGTTCAACTCTGTGACTTGAATACACACAACACAAAGAAGTGACTGAGAATTCTTCTGTCCAGCATTATATGAAGAAATCCCGTTTCCAACGAAGGCCTCAATGAAGTCCAAAAAAGCACTTGCAGGCTTTACAAACAGAGTGTTTCCAAACTGCTCTATGAAAAGAAAGTTTAAACTCTGTGAGTTGAACGCACACATCACAAAGTAGTTGTTGAGAATGATTCTGTGTAGTTTTTATACGAAGATATTTCCTTTTCTGCCATAGGCCTAGAATCGCTTGAAATCTGCACTTGCAAATTCCAAAAACAGAGTGTTTCAAATCTGCTCTCTCTAAAGGAAGGTTCAAATCTGTGAGTTGAATACAAACAACACAAAGAAGTTACTGAGAATTCTTCTGTCTAGCATTATATGAGGAAATCCCGTTTCCAACGAAGGGCTCAAAGAGGGCCAATTATCCACCTGCAGACTTACAAAAAGTGTATTTCCAAACTGCTCAATTAAAGAAAGGTTAAACTCTGTGGGTTGAACACACACATCACAAAGTGTTTTCTGAGAATGATTCTGTGTACTTTTAATATGAAGATATTTCCATGTCTCAGATTGGCGTCAAATCGCTTGAAATCTCCACTTGCAAATTCCACAAAAAGTGTTTTTCAAAACTGCTCTGAATAAAGGAAGGTTCCACTCTGTGAGTTGAATACACACAACACAAAGGATTTACTGAGAATTCTTCTGTCTAGCAGTAAATGAAAAAATCCCGCTTCCAACGAAGTCCTCAAAGGGGTCCAAGTAATCACTTGCAGACTTTACAGACAGAGTCTTTCCAAACTGCTCTATGAAAAGAAAGGTGGAACTCTGTGAGCTGAACGCACACATAACAAAGCAGTTTCTGAGAATGATTCTGTGTAGTTTTTACACGAAGATATTTCCATTTCAAAGATTAGCCTCAAATCGCTTGAAATCTCCACTTGCAAATTCCACAGAAAGAGTTTTTCTAAACTGCTCTGTGTAAAGGAAGGTTCAACTCTGTGACTTGAATACACACAACACAGGGAAGTGACTGAGAATTCTTCTGTCTAGCATTATATGAAGAAATCCCGTTTCCAACGAAGGCCTCAAAGAAGTCCAAATAAGCACCTGCAGACTTTACAAACAGAGTGTTTCCAAACTGCTCTATGAAAAGAAAGGTTATACTCTGTGAGCTGAACGCACACATCACAAAGTAGTTGTTGAGAATGATTCTGTGTAGTTTTTATACGAAGATATTTCCTTTTCTGCCATAGGCCTAGAAGCGCTTGCAATCTGCACTTGCAAATTCCACAAACAGAGTGTTTCAACTCTGCTCTCTCTCAAGAAAGGTTCAACTCTGTGAGTGGAATACACACAACACAAAGAAGTTTCTGAGAATTCTTCTGTCTAGCGTTATATGAAGAAATCCCGTTTCCAACGAAGGCCTCAAAGAGGTCCAAATATCCACTTGCAGACTTTACAAATAGAGTGTTTCCAAACTGCTCTATGAAAAGAAAGCTTAAACTCTGTGAGTTGAAGGCACACATCACAAACTAGTTTCTGCGAATGACTCTGTGTACTTTTAATACGAAGATGTTTCCATGTCTAAGATTGGCGTGAATTCGCTTGAAATCTCCACTTGCAAATTCCACAAAAAGAGTGTTTCAAAACTGCTCTGAATAAAGGAAGGTTCCACTCTGTGAGTTGAATACACACAACACGAAGGATTTACTGAGAATTCTTCTGTCTAGCAGTAAATGAAAAAATCCCGCTTCCAACGAAGTCCTCAAAGTGGTCCAAGTAATCACTTGCAGACTTTACAGACAGAGTCTTTCCAAACTGCTCTATGAAAAGAAAGGTGGAACTCTGTGAGCTGAACGCACACATAACAAAGCAGTTTCTGAGAATGATTCTGTGTAGTTTTTACACGAAGATATTTCCATTTCAAAGATTAGCCTCAAATCGCTAGAATTCTCCACTTGCAAATTCCACAGAAAGAGATTTTCAAAACTGCTCTGTCTAAAAGAAGGTTTAACTCTGTGACTTGAATACACACAAGACAAAAAAGTGACTGAGAATTCTACTGTCTAGCATTATATGAAGAAATCCCGTTTCCAACGAAGGCCTCAAAGAAGTCCAAATAAGCACCTGCAGACTTTCCAAACAGAGTGTTTCCAAACTGCTCTATGAAAAGAAAGGTTAAACTCTGTGAGTTGAACGCACACATCACAAAGTAGTTGTTGAGAATGATTCTGTGTAGTTTTTATACGAAGGTATTTCCTTTTCTGCCATAGGCCTAGAAGCGCTTGAAATCTGCACTTGCAAATTCCAAAAACAGAGTGTTTCAAATCTGCTCTCTCTAAAGGAAGGTTCAAATCTGTGAGTTGAATACAAACAACACAAAGAAGTTACTGAGAATTCTTCTGTCTAGCATTATATGAGGAAATCCCGTTTCCAACGAAGGGCTCAAAGAGGGCCAATTATGCACCTGCAGACTTACAAAGAGTGTATTTCCAAACTGCTTGATTAAAGAAAGGTTAAACTCTGTGAGTTGAACACACACATCACAAAGTGTATTCTGAGAATGATTCTGTGTACTTTTAATATGAAGATATTTCCATGTCTAAGATTGGCGTCAAATCGCTTGAAATCTCCACTTGCAAATTCCACAAAAAGAGTGTTTCAAAAGTGCTCTGAATAAAGGAAGGTTCCACTCTGTGAGTTGAATAAACGCAACACAAATGATTTACTGAGAATTCTTCTGTCTAGCATTATATGAAGAAATCCCGTTTCCAACGAAGGCCTCAATGAAGTCCAAAAAAGCACTTGCAGGCTTTACAAACAGCGTGTTTCCAAACTGCTCTATGAAAAGAAAGGTTAAACTTTGTGAGTTGAACGCACACATCACAAAGTAGTTGTTGAGAATGATTCTGTGTAGTTTTTATACGAAGATATTTCCTTTCCTGCCATAGGCCTAGAATCGCTTGAAATCTGCACTTGCAAATTCCAAAAACAGAGTGTTTCAACTCTGCTCTCTCTAAAGAAAGATTCAACTCTGTGAGTTGAATACACACAACACAAAGAAGTTACTGAGAATTCTTCTGTCTAGTGTTGTATGAAGAAATCCCATTTCCAACGAAGGCCTCAAAGAGGTCCAAATATCCACTTGCAGACTTTACAAACAGAGTGTTTCCCAACTGCTCTATGAAAAGAAAGGTTAAACTCTGTGAGTTGAAGGCACACATCACAAACTAGTTTCTACGAATGACTCTGTGTACTTTTAATATGAAGATATTTCCATGTCTAAGATTGGCGTCAAATCGCTTGAAATCTCCACTTGCAAATTCCACAAAAAGTGTTTTTCAAAACTGCTCTGAATAAAGGAAGGTTCCACTCTGTGAGTTGAATACACACAACACAAAGGATTTACTGAGAATTCTTCTGTCTAGCAGTAAATGAGAAATCCCGCTTCCAACGAAGGCCTCAAAGGGGTCTAACTAATCACTTGCAGACTTTACAGACAGAGTCTTTCCAAACTGCTCTATGAAGAGAAAGGTGAAACTCTGTGAACTGAACGCACAGATGACAAAGCAGTTTCTGAGAATGATTCTGTGTAGTTTTTACACGAAGATATTTCCATTTCAAAGATTAGCCTCAAATCGCTTGAAATCTCCACTTGCAAATTCCACAGAAAGAGTTTTTCAAAACTGCTCTGTGTAAAGGAAGGTTCAACTCTGTGACTTGAATACACACAACACAAAGAAGTGACTGAGAATTCTTCTGTCTAGCATTATATGAAGAAATCCCGTTTCCAACGAAGGCCTCAATGAAGTCCAAAAAAGCACTTGCAGGCTTTACAAACAGAGTGTTTCCAAACTGCTCTATGAAAAGAAAGGTTAAACTCTGTGAGTTGAACGCACACATCACAAAGTAGTTGTTGAGAATGATTCTGTGTAGTTTTTATACGAAGATATTTCCTTTTCTGCCATAGGCCTAGAAGCGCTTGAAATCTGCACTTGCAAATTCCAAAAACAGAGTGTTTCAAATCTGCTCTCTCTAAAGGAAGGTTCAAATCTGTGTGTTGAATACAAACAACACAAAGAAGTTACTGAGAATTCTTCTGTCTAGCGTTATATGAAGAAATCCCGTTTCCAACGAAGGCCTCAAAGAGGTCCAAATATCCACTTGCAGACTTTACAAATAGAGTGTTTCCAAACTGCTCTATGAAAAGAAAGGTTAAACTCCGTGAGTTGAAGGCACACATCACAAACTAGTTTCTGCGAATGACTCTGTGTACTTTTAATATGAAGATATTTCCATGTCTAAGATTGGCGTCAAATCGCTTGAAATCTCCACTTGCAAATTCCACAAAAAGAGTGTTTCAAAACTGCTCTGAATAAAGGAAGGTTCCACTCTGTGAGTTGAATACACACAACACAAAGGATTTACTGAGAATTCTTCTGTCTAGCAGTAAATGAAAAAATCCCGCTTCCAACGAAGTCCTCAAAGGGGTCCAAGTAATCACTTGCAGACTTTACAGACAGAGTCTTTCCAAACTGCTCTATGAAAAGAAAGGTGGAACTCTGTGAGCTGAACGCACACATAACAAAGCAGTTTCTGAGAATGATTCTGTGTAGTTTTTACACGAAGATATTTCCATTTCAAAGATTAGCCTCAAATCGCTTGAAATCTCCACTTGCAAATTCCACAGAAAGAGTTTTTCAAAACTGCTCTGTGTAAAGGAAGGTTCAACTCTGTGACTTGAATACACACAACACAAAGAAGTGACTGAGAATTCTTCTGTCTAGCATTATATGAAGAAATCCCGTTTCCAACGAAGGCCTCAAAGAAGTCCAAATAAGCACCGGCAGACTTTACAAACAGAGTGTTTCCAAACTGCTCTATGAAAAGAAAGGTTAAACTCTGTGAGTTGAACGCACACATCACAAAGTAGTTGTTGAGAATGATTCTGTGTAGTTTTTATACGAAGATATTTCCTTTTCTGCCATAGGCCTAGAAGCGCTTGCAATCTGCACTTGCAAATTCCAAAAACAGAGTGTTTCAAATCTGCTCTCTCCAAAGGAAGGTTCAAATCTGTGAGTTGAATACAAACAACACAAAGAAGTTACTGAGAATTCTTCTGTCTGGCGTTATATGAAGAAATCCCGTTTCCAACGAAGGCCTCAAAGAGGTCCAAATATCCACTTGCAGACTTTAGAAATAGAGTGTTTCTAAACTGCTCTATGAAAAGAAAGGTTAAACTCTGTGAGTTGAAGGCACACTTCACAAACTAGTTTCTAAGAATGACTCTGTGTACTTTTAATATGAAGATATTTCCACGTCTAAGATTGGCGTCAAATCGCTTGAAATCTCCACTTGCAAATTCCACAAAAAGTGTTTTTCAAAACTTCTCTGAATAAAGGAAGGTTCAACTCTGTGAGTTGAATACACACAACACCAAGGATTTACTGAGAATTCTTCTGTCTAGCAGTAAATGAAAAAATCCCGCTTCCAACGAAGTCCTCAAAGGGGTCCAAGTAATCACTTGCAGACTTTACAGACAGAGTCTTTCCAAACTGCTCTATGAAAAGAAAGGTGGAACTCTGTGAGCTGAACGCACACATAACAAAGCAGTTTCTGAGAATGATTCTGTGTAGTTTTTACACGAAGATATTTCCATTTCAAAGATTAGCCTCAAATCGCTTGAAATCTCCACTTGCAAATTACACAGAAAGAATTTTTCAAAACTGCTCTGTCTAAAGGAAGGTTCAACTCTGTGACTTGAATACACACAACACAAAGAAGTGACTGAGAATTCTTCTGTCTAGCACTATATGAGGAAATCCCGTTTCCAAAGAAGGTCTCAAAGAGGGACAATTATCCACTTGCAGACTTTACAAAGAGGGTATTTCCAAACTGCTCGATTAAAGAAAGGTTAAACTCTGTGAGTTGAACACACACATCACAAAGTGTTTTCTGAGAATGATTTTGTCTAGTTTTAATACGAAGATATATCCTTTTCGATCATTGTCTTCGAAGCGTTTGAAATCTGCACTAGCAAATTCCACAAAAAGAGTGTTTCAAATCTGATCTCTCTAAAGAAAGGTTCAACTCTGTGAGTTGAATACACACAACACAAAGAAGTTACTGAGAATTCTTCTGTCTAGCGTTATATGAAGAAATCCCGTTTCCAATGAAGGCCTCAAAGAGGTCGAAATATCCACTTGCAGACTTTACAAATAGAGTGTTTCCAAACTGCTCTATGAAAAGAAAGTTAAATTCTGTGAATTGAAGGCACACATCACAATCTAGTTTCTGCGAATGACTCTGTGTACTTTTAAGACGAAGATATTTCCATGTCTAAGATTGGCGTGAAATCGCTTGAAATCTCCACTTGCAAATTCCACAAAAAGGGTGTTTCAAAACTGCTCTGAATAAAGGAAGGTTCCACTCTGTGAGTTGAATACACACAACACAAAGGATTTAATGAGAATTGTTCTGTCTAGCAGTAAATGAAAAAATCCCGCTTCCATCGAAGTCCTCAAAGGGGTCCAAGTAATCAATTGCAGACTTTACAGACAGAGACTTTCCAAACTGCTCTATGAAAAGAAAGGTGGAACTCTGTGAGCTGAACGCACACATAACAAAGCAGTTACTGAGAATGATTCTGTGTAGTTTTTACACGAAGATATTTCCATTTCAAAGATTAGCCTCAAATCGCTTGAAATCTCCACTTGCAAATTCCACAGAAAGAGTTTTTCAAAACTGCTCTGTCTAAAGGAAGGTTGAACTCTGTGACTTGAATACACACAACACAAAGAAGTGACTGAGAATTCTTCTGTCTAGCATTATATGAAGAAATCCCGTTTCCAACGAAGGCCTCAATGAAGTCCAAAAAAGCAATTGCAGGCTTTACAAACAGAGTGTTTCCAAACTGCTCTATGAAAAGAAAGGTTAAACTTTGTGAGTTGAACGCACACATCACAAAGTAGTTGTTGAGAATGATTTTGTCTAGTTTTAATACGAAGATATATCCTTTTCTATCACTGTCTTCGAAGCGTTTGAAATCTGCACTAGCAAATTCCACAAACAGAGTGTTTCAACTCTGCTCTCTCTCAAGAAAGGTTCAACTCTGTGAGTGGAATACACACAACACAAAGAAGTTACTGAGAATTCTTCTGTCTAGCGTTATATGAAGAAATCCCGTTTCCAACGAAGGCCTCAAAGAGGTCCAAATATCCACTTGCAGACTTTACAAATAGAGTGTTTCCAAACTGCTCTATGAAAAGAAAGGTTAAACTCTGTGAGTTGAAGGCACACATCACAAACTAGTTTCTGCGAATGACTCTGTGTACTTTTAATATGAAGATATTTCCATGTCTAAGATTGGCGTCAAGTCGCTTGAAATCTCCACTTGCAAATTCCAGAAAAAGAGTGTTTCAAAACTGCTCTGAATAAAGGAAGGTTCAACTCTGTGAGTTGAATACACATAACACAAAGGATTTACTGAGAATTCTTCTATCTAGCAGTAAATGAGAAATCCCGCTTCCAACGAAGGCCTCAAAGGGGTCTAACTAATCACTTGCAGAATTTACAGACAGAGTCTTTCCAAACTGCTCTATGAAGAGAAAGGTGAAACTCTGTGAACTGAACGCACAGATGACAAAGCAGTTTCTGAGAATGATTCTGTGTAGTTTTTACACGAAGCTATTTCCATTTCAAAGATTAGCCTCAAATCGCTTGAAATCTCCACTTGCAAATTCCACAGAAAGAGTTTTTCAAAACTGCTCTGTGTAAAGGAAGGTTCAACTCTGTGACTTGAATACACACAACACAAAGAAGTGACTGAGAATTCTTCTGTCTAGCATTATATGAGGAAATCCTGTTTCCAACGAAGGGCTCATAGAGGGACAATTATCCAGCTGCAGACTTACAAAGAGTGTATTTCCAAACTGCTCGATTAAAGAAAGGTTAAACTCTGTGAGTTGAACACACACATCACAAAGTGTTTTCTGAGAATGATTTTGTCTAGTTTTAATACGAAGATATATCCTTTTCTATCACTGTCTTCGAAGCGTTTGAAATCTGCACTAGCAAATTCCACAAACAGAGTGTTTCCACTCTGCTCTCTCTCAAGAAAGGTTCAACTCTGTGAGTGGAATACACACAACACAAAGAAGTTACAGAGAATTCTTCTGTCTAGCGTTATATGAAGAAATCCCGTTTCCAACGAAGGCCTCAAAGAGGTCCAAATATCCACTTGCAGACTTTACAAATAGAGTGTTTCCAAACTGCTCTATGAAAAGAAAGGTTAAACTCTGTGAGTTGAAGGCACACATCACAAACTAGTTTCTGCGAATGACTCTGTGTACTTTTAATACGAAGATGTTTCCATGTCTAAGATTGGCGTGAATTCGCTTGAAATCTCCACTTGCAAATTCCACAAAAAGAGTGTTTCAAAACTGCTCTGAATAAAGGAAGGTTCCACTCTGTGAGTTGAATACACACAACACAAAGGATTTACTGAGAATTCTTCTGTCTAGCAGTAAATGAAAAAATCCCGCTTCCAACGAAGTCCTCAAAGGGGTCCAAGTAATCACTTGCAGACTTTACAGACAGAGTCTTTCCAAACTGCTCTATGAAAAGAAAGGTGGAACTCTGTGAGCTGAACGCACACATAACAAAGCAGTTTCTGACAATGATTCTGTGTAGTTTTTACACGAAGATATTTCCATTTCAAAGATTAGCCTCAAATCGCTTGAAATCTCCACTTGCAAATTCCACAGAAAGAGTTTTTCAAAACTGCTCTGTCTAAAGGAAGGTTCAACTCTGTGACTTGAATACACACAACACAAAGAAGTGACTGAGAATTCTTCTGTCTAACATTATATGAAGAAATCCCGTTTCCAACGAAGGCCTCAATGAAGTCCAAAAAAGCACTTGCAGGGTTTACAAACAGAGTGTTTCCAAACTGCTCTATGAAAAGAAAGGTTAAACTCTGTGAGTTGAACGCACACATCACAAAGTAGTTGTTGAGAATGATTCTGTGTAGTTTTTATACGAAGATATTTCCTTTTCTGCCATAGGCCTAGAAGCGCTTGAAATCTGCACTTGCAAATTATAAAAACAGAGTGTTTCAAATCTGCCCTCTCTAAAGGAAGGTTCAAATCTGTGAGTTGAATACAAACAACACAAAGAAGTTACTGAGAATTCTTCTGTCTAGCGTTTTATGAAGAAATCCCGTTTCCAACGAAGGCCTCAAAGAGGTCCAAATATCCACTTGCAGACTTTACAAATAGAGTGTTTCCAAACTGCTCTATGAAAAGAAAGGTTAAACTCCCTGAGTTGAAGGCACACATCACAAACTAGTTTCTGCGAATGACTCTGTGTACTTTTAATATGAAGATATTTCCATGTCTAAGATTGGCGTCAAATCGCTTGAAATCTCCACTTGCAAATTCCACAAAAAGAGTGTTTCAAAACTGCTCTGAATAAAGGAAGGTTCCACTCTGTGAGTTGAATACACACAACACAAAGGATTTACTGAGAATTCTTCTGTCTAGCAGTAAATGAGAAATCCCGCTTCCAACGAAGGCCTCAAAGGGGTCTAACTAATCACTTGCAGACTTTACAGACAGAGTCTTTCCAAACTGCTCTATGAAGAGAAAGGTGAAACTCTGTGAACTGAACGCACAGATGACAAAGCAGTTTCTGAGAATGATTCTGTGTAGTTTTTACACGAAGCTATTTCCATTTCAAAGATTAGCCTCAAATCGCTTGAAATCTCCACTTGCAAATTCCACAGAAAGAGTTTTTCAAAACTGCTCTGTGTAAAGGAAGGTTCAACTCTGTGACTTGAATACACACAACACAAAGAAGTGACTGAGAATTCTTCTGTCTAGCATTATATGAAGAAATCCCGTTTCCAACGAAGGCCTCAATGAAGTCCAAAAAAGCACTTGCAGGCTTTACAAACAGAGTGTTTCCAAACTGCTCTATGAAAAGAAAGGTTAAACTCTGTGAGTTGAACGCACACATCACAAAGTAGTTGTTGAGAATGATTTTGTCTAGTTTTAATACGAAGATATATCCTTTTCTATCACTGTCTTCGAAGCGTTTGAAATCTGCACTAGCAAATTCCACAAACAGAGTGTTTCAACTCTGCTCTCTCTCAAGAAAGGTTCAACTCTGTGAGTTGAATACACACAACACAAAGAAGTTACTGAGAATTCTTCTGTCTAGCGTTATATGAAGAAATCCCGTTTCCAACGAAGGCCTCAAAGAGGTCCAAATATCCACTTGCAGACTTTACAAATAGAGTGTTTCCAAACTGCTCTATGAAAAGAAAGGTTAAACTCCGTGAGTTGAAGGCACACATCACAAACTAGTTTCTGCGAATGACTCTGTGTACTTTTAATACGAAGATGTTTCCATGTCTAAGATTGGCGTGAATTCGCTTGAAATCTCCACTTGCAAATTCCACAAAAAGAGTGTTTCAAAAGTGCTCTGAATAAAGGAAGGTTCCACTCTGTGAGTTGAATACACACAACACAAAGGATTTACTGAGAATTCTTCTGTCTAGCAGTAAATGAAAAAATCCCGCTTCCAACGAAGTCCTCAAAGGGGTCCAAGTAATCACTTGCAGACTTTACAGACAGAGTCTTTCCAAACTGCTCTATGAAAAGAAAGGTGGAACTCTGTGAGCTGAACGCACACATAACAAAGCAGTTTCTGAGAATGATTCTGTGTAGTTTTTACACGAAGATATTTCCATTTCAAAGATTAGCCTCAAATCGCTTGAAATCTCCACTTGCAAATTCCACAGGAAGAGTTTTTCAAAACTGCTCTGTGTAAAGGAAGGTTCAACTCTGTGACTTGAATACACACAACACAAAGAAGTGACTGAGAATTCTTCTGTCTAGCATTATATGAAGAAATCCCGTTTCCAACGAAGGCCTCAAAGAAGTCCAAATAAGCACCTGCAGACTTTACAAACAGAGTGTTTCCAAACTGCTCTATGAAAAGAAAGGTTAAACTCTGTGAGTTGAACGCACACATCACAAAGTAGTTGTTGAGAATGATTCTGTGTAGTTTTTATACGAAGATATTTCCTTTTCTGCCATAGGCCTAGAAGCGCTTGCAATCTGCACTTGCAAATTCCAAAAACAGAGTGTTTCAAATCTGCTCTCTCCAAAGGAAGGTTCAAATCTGTGAGTTGAATACAAACAACACAAAGAAGTTACTGAGAATTCTTCTGTCTAGCGTTATATGAAGAAATCCCGTTTCCAACGAAGGCCTCAAAGAGGTCCAAATATCCACTTGCAGACTTTACAAATAGAGTGTTTCCAAACTGCTCTATGAAAAGAAAGGTTAAACTCCGTGAGTTGAAGGCACACATCACAAACTAGTTTCTGCGAATGACTCTGTGTACTTTTAATACGAAGATGTTTCCATGTCTAAGATTGGCGTGAATTCGCTTGAAATCTCCGCTTGCAAATTCCACAAAAAGAGTGTTTCAAAACTGCTCTGAATAAAGGAAGGTTCCACTCTGTGAGTTGAATACACACAACACAAAGGATTTACTGAGAATTCTTCTGTCTAGCAGTAAATGAGAAATCCCGCTTCCAACGAAGGCCTCAAAGGGGTCTAACTAATCACTTGCAGACTTTACAGACAGAGTCTTTCCAAACTGCTCTATGAAGAGAAAGGTGAAACTCTGTGAACTGAACGCACAGATGACAAAGCAGTTTCTGAGAATGATTCTGTGTAGTTTTTACACGAAGATATTTCCATTTCAAAGATTAGCCTCAAATCGCTTGAAATCTCCACTTGCAAATTCCACAGAAAGAGTTTTTCAAAACTGCTCTGTGTAAAGGAAGGTTCAACTCTGTGACTTGAATACACACAACACAAAGAAGTGACTGAGAATTCTTCTGTCTAGCATTACATGAAGAAATCCCGTTTCCAACGAAGGCCTCAAAGAAGTCCAAATAAGCACCTGCAGACTTTACAAACAGAGTGTTTCCAAACTGCTCTATGAAAAGAAAGGTTAAACTCTGTGAGTTGAACGCACACATCACAAAGTAGTTGTTGAGAATGATTCTGTGTAGTTTTTATACGAAGATATTTCCTTTTCTGCCATAGGCCTAGAAGCGCTTGTAATCTGCACTTGCAAATTCCAAAAACAGAGTGTTTCAAATCTGCTCTCTCTAAAGGAAGGTTCAAATCTGTGAGTTGAATACAAACAACACAAAGAAGTTACTGAGAATTCTTCTGTCTAGCGTTATATGAAGAAATCCCGTTTCCAACGAAGGCCTCAAAGAGGTCCAAATATCCACTTGCAGACTTTACAAATAGAGTGTTTCCCAACTGCTCTATGAAAAGAAAGGTTAAACTCTGTGAGTTGAAGGCACACATCACAAACTAGTTTCTACGAATGACTCTGTGTACTTTTAATACGAAGATGTTTCCATGTCTAAGATTGGCGTGAATTCGCTTGAAATCTCCACTTGCAAATTCCTCAAAAAGAGTGTTTCAAAACTGCTCTGAATAAAGGAAGGTTCCACTCTGTGAGTTGAATACACACAACACAAAGGATTTACTGAGAATTCTTCTGTCTAGCAGTAAGTGAAAAAATCCCGCTTCCAACGAAGTCCTCAAAGTGGTCCAAGTAATCAGTTGCAGACTTTACAGACAGAGTCTTTCCAAACTGTTCTATGAAAAGAAAGGTGGAACTCTGTGAGCTGAACACACACATAAGAAAGCAGTTTCTGAGAATGATTCTGTGTAGTTTTTACACGAAGATATTTCCATTTCAAAGATTAGCCTCAAATCGCTTGAAATCTCCACTTGCAAATTCCACAGAAAGAGTTTTTCAAAACTGCTCTGTGTAAAGGAAGGTTCAACTCTGTGACTTGAATACACACAACACAAAGAAGTGACTGAGAATTCTTCTGTCTAGCATTATATGAAGAAATCCCGTTTCCAACGAAGGCCTCAAAGAAGTCCAAATAAGCACCTGCAGACTTTACAAACAGAGTGTTTCCAAACTGCTCTATGAAAAGAAAGGTTAAACTCTGTGAGTTGAACGCACACATCACAAAGTAGTTGTTGAGAATGATTCTGTGTAGTTTTTATACGAAGATATTTCCTTTTCTGCCATAGGCCTAGAAGCGCTTGAAATCTGCACTTGCAAATTCCAAAAACAGAGTGTTTCAAATCTGCTCTCTCTAAAGGAAGGTTCAAATCTGTGTGTTGAATACAAACAACACAAAGAAGTTACTGAGAATTCTTCTGTCTAGCATTATATGAGGAAATCCCGTTTCCAACGAAGGGCTCAAAGAGGGCCAAATATCCACCTGCAGATTTTCAAAGAGTGTATTTCCAAACTGCTCGATTAAAGAAAGGTTAAACTCTGTGAGTTGAACACATACATCACAAAGAGTTTTCTGAGAATGATTTTGTCTACTTTTAATACGAAGATATATCCTTTTCTATCACTGTCTTCGAAGCGTTTGAAATCTACACTAGCAAATTCCACAAAAAGAGTGTTTCACCTCTGCTCCCTCTAAAGAAAGGTTCAACTCTGTGAGTTGAATACACACAACACAAAGAAGTTACTGAGAATTCTTCTGTCTAGCGTTATATGAAGAAATCCCTTTTCCAACGAAGGCCTCAAAGAGGTCCAAATATCCACTTGCAGACTTTACAAATAGAATGTTTCCGAACTGCTCTATGAAAAGAAAGGTTAAACTCTGTGAGTTGAAGGCACACATCACAAACTAGTTTCTACGAATGATTCTGTGTACTTTTAATACGAAGATGTTTCCATGTCTAAGATTGGCGTGAATTCGCTTGAAATCTCCACTTGCAAATTCCACAAAAAGAGTGTTTCAAAACTGCTCTGAATAAAGGAAGGTTCCACTCTGTGAGTTGAATACACACAACACAAAGGATTTACTGAGAATTCTTCTGTCTAGCAGTAAATGAAAAAATCCCGCTTCCAACGAAGTCCTCAAAGGGGTCCAAGTAATCACTTGCAGACTTTACAGACAGAGTCTTTCCAAACTGCTCTATGAAAACAAAGGTGGAACTCTGTGAGCTGAACGCACACATAACAAAGCAGTTTCTGACAATGATTCTGTGTAGTTTTTACACGAAGATATTTCCATTTCAAAGATTAGCCTCAAATCGCTTGAAATCTCCACTTGCAAATTCCACAGAAAGAGTTTTTCAAAACTGCTCTGTGTAAAGGAAGGTTCAACTCTGTGACTTGAATACACACAACACAAAGAAGTGACTGAGAATTCTTCTGTCTAGCATTATATGAAGAAATCCCGTTTCCAACGAAGGCCTCAAAGAAGTCCAAATAAGCACCTGCAGACTTTACAAACAGAGTGTTTCCAAACTGCTCTATGAAAAGAAAGGTTAAACTCTGTGAGTTGAACGCACACATCACAAAGTAGTTGTTGAGAATGATTTTGTCTAGTTTTAATACGAAGATATATCCTTTTCTATCACTGTCTTCGAAGCGTTTGAAATCTGCACTAGCAAATTCCACAAACAGAGTGTTTCAACTCTGCTCTCTCTCAAGAAAGGTTCAACTCTGTGAGTGGAATACACACAACACAAAGAAGTTACTGAGAATTCTTCTGTCTAGCGTTATATGAAGAAATCCCGTTTCCAACGAAGGCCTCAAAGAGGTCCAAATATCCACTTGCAGACTTTACAAATAGAGTGTTTCCAAACTGCTCTATGAAAAGAAAGGTTAAACTCTGTGAGTTGAAGGCACACATCACAAAGTAGTTTCTGCGAATGACTCTGTGTACTTTTAATACGAAGATGTTTCCATGTCTAAGATTGGCGTGAATTCGCTTGAAATCTCCACTTGCAAATTCCACAAAAAGAGTGTTTCAAAAGTGCTCTGAATAAAGGAAGGTTCCACTCTGTGAGTTGAATACACACAACACAAAGGATTTACTGAGAATTCTTCTGTCTAGCAGTAAATGAAAAAATCCCGCTTCCAACGAAGTCCTCAAAGGGGTCCAAGTAATCACTTGCAGACTTTACAGACAGAGTCTTTCCAAACTGCTCTATGAAAAGAAAGGTGGAACTCTGTGAGCTGAACGCACACATAACAAAGCAGTTTCTGAGAATGATTCTGTGTAGTTTTTACACGAAGATATTTCCATTTCAAAGATTAGCCTCAAATCGCTTGAAATCTCCACTTGCAAATTCCACAGAAAGAGTTTTTCAAAACTGCTCTGTGTAAAGGAAGGTTCAACTCTGTGACTTGAATACACACAACACAAAGAAGTGACTGAGAATTCTTCTGTCTAGCATTATAAGAGGAAATCCCGTTTCCAACGAAGGGCTCATAGAGGGACAATTATCCAGCTGCAGACTTACAAAGAGTGTATTTCCAAACTGCTCGATTAAAGAAAGGTTAAACTCTGTGAGTTGAACACACACATCACAAAGTGTTTTCTGAGAATGATTCTGTGTAGTTTTTATACGAAGATATTTGCTTTTCTGCCATAGGCCTAGAAGCGCTTGAAATCTGCACTTGCAAATTCCAAAAACAGAGTGTTTCAAATCTGCTCTCTCTAAAGGAAGGTTCAAATCTGTGAGTTGAATACAAACAACACAAAGAAGTTACTGAGAATTCTTCTGTCTAGCGTTATATGAAGAAATCCCTTTTCCAACGATGGCCTCAAAGAGGTCCAAATATCCACTTGCAGACTTTACAAATAGAGTGTTTCCAAACTGCTCTATGAAAAGAAAGGTTAAACTCTGTGAGTTGAAGGCACACATCACAAACTAGTTTCTACGAATGACTCTGTGTACTTTTAATATGAAGATATTTCCATGTCTAAGATTGGCGTCAAATCGCTTGAAATCTCCACTTGCAAATTCCACAAAAAGTGTTTTTCAAAACTGCTCTGAATAAAGGAAGGTTCCACTCTGTGAGTTGAATACACACAACACAAAGGATTTACTGAGAATTCTTCTGTCTAGCAGTAAATGAAAAAATCCCGCTTCCAACGAAGTCCTCAAAGGGGTCCAAGTAATCACTTGCAGACTTTACAGACAGAGTCTTTCCAAACTGCTCTATGAAAAGAAAGGTGGAACTCTGTGAGCTGAACGCACACATAACAAAGCAGTTTCTGACAATGATTCTGTGTAGTTTTTACACGAAGCTATTTCCATTTCAAAGATTAGCCTCAAATCGCTTGAAATCTCCACTTGCAAATTCCACAGAAAGAGTTTTTCAAAACTGCTCTGTGTAAAGGAAGGTTCAACTCTGTGACTTGAATACACACAACACAAAGAAGTGACTGAGAATTCTTCTGTCTAGCGTTCTATGAAGAAATCCCGTTTCCAACGAAGGCCTCAATGAAGTCCAAAAAAGCACTTGCAGGCTTTACAAACAGAGTGTTTCCAAACTGCTCTATGAAAAGAAAGGTTAAACTCTGTGAGTTGAACGCACACATCACAAAGTAGTTGTTGAGAATGATTCTGTGTAGTTTTTATACGAAGATATTTCCTTTTCTGCCATAGGCCTAGAAGTGCTTGAAATCTGCACTTGCAAATTCCAAAAACAGAGTGTTTCAAATCTGCTCTCTCTAAAGGAAGGTTCAAATCTGTGTGTTGAATACAAACAACACAGGAGAAGTTACTGAGAATTCTTCTGTCTAGCCGTTATATGAAGAAATCCCGTTTCCAACGAAGGCCTCAAAGAGGTCCAAATATCCACTTGCAGACTATACAAATAGAGTGTTTCCAAACTGCTCTATGAAAAGAAAGCTTAAACTCTGTGAGTTGAAGGCACACATCACAAACTAGTTTCTGCGAATGACTCTGTGTACTTTTAATATGAAGATTTTTCCATGTCTAAGATTGGCGTCAAATCGCTTGAAATCTCCACTTGCAAATTCCACAAAAAGTGTTTTTCAAAACTTCTCTGAATAAAGGAAGGTTCCACTCTGTGAGTTGAATACACACAACACAAAGGATTTACTGAGAATTCTTCTGTCTAGCAGTAAATGAAAAAATCCCGCTTCCAACGAAGTCCTCAAAGGGGTCCAAGTAATCACTTGCAGACTTTACAGACAGAGTCTTTCCAAACTGCTCTATGAATAGAAAGGTGAAACTCTGTGAGCTGAACGCACACATAACAAAGCAGTTTCTGAGAATGATTTCTGTGTAGTTTTTACACGAAGATATTTCCATTTCAAAGATTAGCCTCAAATCGCTTGAAATCTCCACTTGCAAATTCCACAGAAAGAGTTTTTCAAAACTGCTCTGTGTAAAGGAAGGTTCAACTCTGTGACTTGAATACACACAACACAAAGAAGTGACTGAGAATTCTTCTGTCTAGCGTTGTATGAAGAAATCCCGTTTCCAACGAAGGCCTCAATGAAGTCCAAAAAAGCACTTGCAGGCTTTACAAACAGAGTGTTTCCAAACTGCTCTATGAAAAGAAAGGTTAAACTCTGTGAGTTGAACACACACATCACAAAGAGTTTTCTGAGAATGATTTTGTCTAGTTTTAATACGAAGATATATCCTTTTCTATCACTGTCTTCGAAGCGTTTGAAATCTGCACTAGCAAATTCCACAAACAGAGTGTTTCAACTCTGCTCTCTCTCAAGAAAGGTTCAACTCTGTGAGTGGAATACACACAACACAAAGAAGTTACTGAGAATTCTTCTGTCTAGCGTTATATGAAGAAATCCCGTTTCCAACGAAGGCCTCAAAGAGGTCCAAATATCCACTTGCAGACTTTACAACTAGAGTGTTTCCCAACTGCTCTATGAAAAGAAAGGTTAAACTCTGTGAGTTGAAGGCACACATCACAAACTAGTTTCTACGAATGACTCTGTGTACTTTTAATATGAAGATATTTCCATGTCTAAGATTGGCGTCAAATCGCTTGAAATCTCCACTTGCAAATTCCACAAAAAGAGTGTTTCAAAACTGCTCTGAATAAAGGAAGGTTCCACTCTGTGAGTTGAATACACACAACACAAAGGATTTACTGAAAATTCTTCTGTCTAGCAGAAAATGAGAAATACCGCTTCCAACGAAGGCCTCAAAGGGGTCTAACTAATCACTTGCAGACTTTACAGACAGAGTCTTTCCAAACTGCTCTATGAAGAGAAAGGTGAAACTCTGTGAACTAAACGCACAGATGACAAAGCAGTTTCTGAGAATGATTCTGTGTAGTTTTTACACGAAGATATTTCCATTTCAAAGATTAGCCTCAAATCGCTTGAAATCTCCACTTGCAAATTCCACAGAAAGAGTTTTTCAAAACTGCTCTGTGTAAAGGAAGGTTCAACTCTGTGACTTGAATACACACAACACAAAGAAGTGACTGAGAATTCTTCTGTCTAGCATTATATGAGGAAATCCCGTTTCCAACAAAGGGCTCAAAGAGGGCCAATGATCCACCTGCAGACTTACAAAGAGTGTATTTCCAAACTGCTCGATTAAAGAAAGGTTAATCTCTGTGAGTTGAACACACACATCACAAAGTGTTTTCTGAGAATGATTTTGTCTAGTTTTAATACGGAGATATATCCTTTTCTATCACTGTCTTCGAAGCGTTTGAAATCTGCAGTAGCAAATTCCACAAAAAGAGTGTTTCAACTCTGCTCTCTCTAAAGAGACGTTCAACTCTGTGAGTTGAATACACACAACACAAAGAAGTTACTGAGAATTCTTCTGTCTAGCGTTATATGAAGAAATCCCGTTTCCAACGAAGGCCTCAAAGAGGTCCAAATATCCACTTGCAGACTTTACAAATAGAGTGTTTCCGAACTGCTCTATGAAAAGAAAGGTTAAACTCTGTGAGTTGAAGGCACACATCACAAACTAGTTTCTACGAATGACTCTGTGTACTTTTAATATGAAGATATTTCCATGTCTGAGATTGGCATCAAGTCGCTTGAAATCTCCATTTGCAAATTCCACAAAAAGAGTCTTTCAAAACTGCTCTGAATAAAGGAAGGTTCCACTCTGTGAGTTGAATACACACAACACAAAGGATTTACTGAGAATTCTTCTGTCTAGCATTATATGAAGAAATCCCGTTTCCAAAGAAGACCTCAATGAAGTCCAAAAAAGCACTTGCAGGCTTTACAAACAGAGTGTTTCCAAACTTCTCTATGAAAAGAAAGGTTAAACTTTGTGAGTTGAACGCACACATCACAAAGTAGTTGTTGAGAATGATTCTGTGTAGTTTTTACACGAAGATATTTCCATTTCAAAGATTAGCCTCAAATCGCTTGAAATCTCCACTTGCAAATTCCACAGAAAGAGTTTTTCAAAACTGCTCTGTGTAAAGGAAGGTTCAACTCTGTGACTTGAATACACACAACACAAAGAAGTGACTGAGAATTCTTCTGTCTAGCATTATATGAAGAAATCCCGTTTCCAACGAAGGCCTCAATGAAGTCCAAAAAAGCACTTGCAGGCTTTACAAACAGAGTGTTTCCAAACTGCTCTATGAAAAGAAAGGTTAAACTCTGTGAGTTGAACGCACACATCACAAAGTAGTTGTTGAGAATGATTTTGTCTAGTTTTAATACGAAGATATATCCTTTTCTATCACTGTCTTCGAAGCGTTTGAAATCTGCACTAGCAAATTCCACAAACAGAGTGTTTCAACTCTGCTCTCTCTCAAGAAAGGTTCAACTCTGTGAGTGGAATACACACAACACAAAGAAGTTACTGAGAATTCTTCTGTCTAGCGTTATATGAAGAAATCCCGTTTCCAACGAAGGCCTCAAAGAGGTCCAAATATCCACTTGCAGACTTTACAAATAGAGTGTTTCCAAACTGCTCTATGAAAAGAAAGGTTAAACTCCGTGAGTTGAAGGCACACATCACAAACTAGTTTCTGCGAATGACTCTGTGTACTTTTAATATGAAGATATTTCCATGTCTAAGATTGGCGTCAAATCGCTTGAAATCTCCACTTGCAAATTCCACAAAAAGTGTTTTTCAAAACTGCTCTGAATAAAGGAAGGTTCCACTCTGTGAGTTGAATACACACAACACAAAGGATTTACTGAGAATTCTTCTGTCTAGCAGTAAATGAAAAAATCCCGCTTCCAACGAAGTCCTCAAAGGGGTCCAAGTAATCACTTGCAGACTTTACAGACAGAGTCTTTCCAAACTGCTCTATGAAAAGAAAGGTGGAACTCTGTGAGCTGAACGCACACATAACAAAGCAGTTTCTGAGAATGATTCTGTGTAGTTTTTACACGAAGATATTTCCATTTCAAAGATTAGCCTCAAATCGCTTGAAATCTCCACTTGCAAATTCCACAGAAAGAGTTTTTCAAAACTGCTCTGTGTAAAGGAAGGTTCAACTCTGTGACTTGAATACACACAACACAAAGAAGTGACTGAGAATTCTTCTGTCTAGCATTATATGAAGAAATCCCGTTTCCAACGAAGGCCTCAATGAAGTCCAAAAAAGCACTTGCAGGCTTTACAAACAGAGTGTTTCCAAACTGCTCTATGAAAAGAAAGGTTAAACTCTGTGAGTTGAACGCACACATCACAAAGTAGTTGTTGAGAATGATTTTGTCTAGTTTTAATACGAAGATATATCCTTTTCTATCACTGTCTTCGAAGCGTTTGAAATCTGCACTAGCAAATTCCACAAAAAGAGTGTTTCCACTCTGCTCTCTCTCAAGAAAGGTTCAACTCTGTGAGTTGAATACACACAACACAAAGAAGTTACTGAGAATTCTTCTGTCTAGCGTTATATGAAGAAATCCCGTTTCCAACGAAGGCCTCAAAGAGGTCCAAATATCCACTTGCAAACTTTAGAAATAGAGTGTTTCTAAACTGCTCTATGAAAAGAAAGGTTAAACTCTGTGAGTTGAAGGCACACTTCACAAACTAGTTTCTAAGAATGACTCTGTGTACTTTTAATATGAAGATATTTCCATGTCTAAGATTGGCGTCAAATCGCTTGAAATCTCCACTTGCAAATTCCACAAAAAGAGTGTTTCAAAACTGCTCTGAATAAAGGAAAGTTCCACTCTGTGAGTTGAATAAACACAACACAAAGGATTTACTGAGAATTCTTCTGTCTAGCAGTAAATGAAAAAATCCCGCTTCCAACGAAGTCCTCAAAGGGGTCCAAGTAATCACTTGCAGACTTTACAGACAGAGTCTTTCCAAACTGCTCTATGAAAAGAAAGGTGGAACTCTGTGAGCTGAACGCACACATAACAAAGCAGTTTCTGAGAATGATTCTGTGTAGTTTTTACACGAAGATATTTCCATTTCAAAGATTAGCCTCAAATCGCTTGAAATCTCCACTTGCAAATTCCACAGAAAGAGTTTTTCAAAACTGCTCTGTGTAAAGGAAGGTTCAACTCTGTGACTTGAATACACGCAACACAAAGAAGTGACTGAGAATTCTTCTGTCTAGCATTATATGAGGAAATCCCGTTTCCAACGAAGGGCTCAAAGAGGGCCAATTATCCACCTGCAGACTTACAAAGAGTGTATTTCCAAACTGCTCGATTAAAGAAAGGTTAAACTCTGTGAGTTGAACACACACATCACAAAGTGTTTTCTGAGAATGATTTTGTCAAGTTTTAATACGAAGATATATCCTTTGCTATCACTGTCTTCGAAGCGTTTGAAATCTGCACTAGCAAATTCCACAAAAAGAGTGTTTCAACACTGCTCTCTCTAAAGAAAGGTTCAACTCTGTGAGTTGAATATACACAACACAAAGAAGTTACTGAAAATTCTTCTGTCTAGCGTTATATGAAGAAATCCCGTTTCCAACGAAGGCCTCAAAGAGGTCCAAATATCCACTTGCAGACTTTACAAATAGAGTGTTTCCAAACTGCTCTATGAAAAGAAAGGTTAAACTCCGTGAGTTGAAGGCACACATCACAAACTAGTTTCTGCGAATGACTCTGTGTACTGTTAATACGAAGATGTTTCCATGTCTAAGATTGGCGTGAATTCGCTTGAAATCTCCACTTGCAAATTCCACAAAAAGAGTGTTTCAAAACTGCTCTGAATAAAGGAAGGTTCCACTCTGTGAGTTGAATACACACAACACAAAGGATTTACTGAGAATTCTTCTGTCTAGCAGTAAATGAAAAAATCCCGCTTCCAACGAAGTCCTCAAAGGGGTCCAAGTAATCACTTGCAGACTTTACAGACAGAGTCTTTCCAAACTGCTCTATGAAAAGAAAGGTGGAACTCTGTGAGCTGAACGCACACATAACAAAGCAGTTTCTGAGAATGATTCTGTGTAGTTTTCACACGAAGATATTTCCATTTCAAAGATTAGCCTGAAATTCCTTGAAATCTCCACTTGCAAATTCCACAGAAAGAGTTCTTCAAAACTGCTCTGTGTAAAGGAAGGTTCAACTGTGTGACTTGAATACACACAACACAAAGAAGTGACTGAGAATTCTTCTGTCTAGCATTATATGAAGAAATCCCGTTTCCAACGAAGGCCTCAAAGAAGTCCAAATAAGCACCTGCAGACTTTACAAACAGAGTGTTTCCAAACTGCTCTATGAAAAGAAAGGTTAAACTCTGTGAGTTGAACGCACACATCACAAAGTAGTTGTTGAGAATGATTTTGTCTAGTTTTAATACGAAGATATATCCTTTTCTATCACTGTCTTCGAAGCGTTTGAAATCTGCACTAGCAAATTCCACAAAAAGAGTGTTTCAACTCTGCTCTCTCTCAAGAAAGGTTCAACTCTGTGAGTGGAATACACACAACACAAAGAAGTTACTGAGAATTCTTCTGTCTAGCGTTATATGAAGAAATCCCGTTTCCAACGAAGGCCTCAAAGAGGTCCAAATATCCACTTGCAGACTTTACAAATAGAGTGTTTCCAAACTGCTCTATGAAAAGAAAGGTTAAACTCTGTGAGTTGAAGGCACACATCACAAACTAGTTTCTGCGAATGACTCTGTGTACTTTTAATACGAAGATGTTTCCATGTCTAAGATTGGCGTGAATTCGCTTGAAATCTCCACTTGCAAATTCCACAAAGGAGTGTTTCAAAACTGCTCTGAATAAAGGAAGGTTCCACTCTGTGAGTTGAATACACACAACACAAAGGATTTACTGAGAATTCTTCTGTCTAGCAGTAAATGAGAAATCCCGCTTCCAACGAAGGCCTCAAAGGGGTCTAACTAATCACTTGCAGACTTTACAGACAGAGTCTTTCCAAACTGCTCTATGAAGAGAAAGGTGAAACTCTGTGAACTGAACGCACAGATAACAAAGCAGTTTCTGAGAATGATTCTGTGTAGTTTTTACACGAAGCTATTTCCATTTCAAAGATTAGCCTCAAATCGCTTGAAATCTCCACTTGCAAATTCCACAGAAAGAGTTTTTCAAAACTGCTCTGTGTAAAGGAAGGTTCAACTCTGTGACTTGAATACACACAACACAAAGAAGTGACTGAGAATTCTTCTGTCTAGCATTATAAGAGGAAATCCCGTTTCCAACGAAGGGCTCATAGAGGGACAATTATCCAGCTGCAGACTTACAAGAGTGTATTTCCAAACTGCTCGATTAAAGAAAGGTTAAACTCTGTGAGTTGAACACACACATCACAAAGTGTTTTCTGAGAATGATTCTGTGTAGTTTTTATACGAAGATATTTCCTTTTCTGCCATAGGCCTAGAAGCGCTTGTAATCTGCACTTGCAAATTCCAAAAACAGAGTGTTTCAAATCTGCTCTCTCTAAAGGAAGGTTCAAATCTGTGAGTTGAATACAAACAACACAAAGAAGTTACTGAGAATTCTTCTGTCTGGCGTTGTATGAAGAAAGCCCGTTTCCAACAAAGGCCTCAAAGAGGTCCAAATATCTACTTGCAGACTTTACAAATAGAGTGTTTCCAAACTGCTCTATGAAAAGAAAGGTTAAACTCTGTGAGTCGAAGGCACACATCACAAACTGGTTTCTACGAATGACTCTGTGTACTTTTAATACGAAGATGTTTCCATGTCTAAGATTGGCGTGAATTCGCTTGAAATCTCCACTTGCAAATTCCACAAAAAGAGTGTTTCAAAACTGCTCTGAATAAAGGAAGGTTCCACTCTGTGAGTTGAATACACACAACACAAAGGATTTACTGAGAATTCTTCTGTCTAGCAGTAAATGAGAAATCCCACTTCCAACGAAGGCCTCAAAGGGGTCTAACTAATCACTTGCAGACTTTACAGACAGAGACTTTCCAAACTGCTCTATGAAGAGAAAGGTGAAACTCTGTGAACTGAACGCACAGATGACAAAGCAGTTTCTGAGAATGATTCTGTGTAGTTTTTACACGAAGATATTTCCATTTCAAAGATTAGCCTCAAATCGCTTGAAATCTCCACTTGCAAATTCCACAGAAAGAGTTTTTCAAAACTGCTCTGTGTAAAGGAAGGTTCAACTCTGTGACTTGAATACACACAACACAAAGAAGTGACTGAGAATTCTTCTGTCTAGCATTACATGAAGAAATCCCGTTTCCAACGAAGGCCTCAAAGAAGTCCAAATAAGCACCTGCAGACTTTACAAACAGAGTGTTTCCAAACTGCTCTATGAAAAGAAAGGTTAAACTCTGTGAGTTGAACGCACACATCACAAAGTAGTTGTTGAGAATGATTCTGTGTAGTTTTTATACGAAGATATTTCCTTTTCTGCCATAGGCCTAGAAGCGCATGAAATCTGCACTTGCAAATTCCAAAAACAGAGTGTTTCAAATCTGCTCTCTCTAAAGGAAGGTTCAAATCTGTGTGTTGAATACAAACAACACAAAGAAGTTACTGAGAATTCTTCTGTCTAGCATTATATGAGGAAATCCCGTTTCCAACGAAGGGCTCAAAGAGGGCCAAATATCCACCTGCAGACTTACAAAGAGTGTATTTCCAAACTGCTCGATTAAAGAAAGGTTAAACTCTGTGAGTTGAACACACACATCACAAAGAGTTTTCTGAGAATGATTTTGTCTACTTTTAATACGAAGATATATCCTTTTCTATCACTGTCTTCGAAGCGTTTGAAATCTACACTAGCAAATTCCACAAAAAGAGTGTTTCACCTCTGCTCCCTCTAAAGAAAGGTTCAACTCTGTGAGTTGAATACACACAACACAAAGAAGTTACTGAGAATTCTTCTGTCTAGCGTTATATGAAGAAATCCCGTTTCCAACGAAGGCCTCAAAGAGGTCCAAATATCCACTTGCAGACTTTACAAATAGAGTGTTTCCAAACTGCTCTATGAAAAGAAAGGTTAAACTCCGTGAGTTGAAGGCACACATCACAAACTAGTTTCTGCGAATGACTCTGTGTACTTTTAATATGAAGATATTTCCATGTCTAAGATTGGCGTCAAATCGCTTGAAATCTCCACTTGCAAATTCCACAAAAAGTGTTTTTCAAAACTGCTCTGAATAAAGGAAGGTTCCACTCTGTGAGTTGAATACACACAACACAAAGGATTTACTGAGAATTCTTCTGTCTAGCAGTAAATGAGAAATCCCGCTTCCAACGAAGGCCTCAAAGGGGTCTAACTAATCACTTGCAGACTTTACAGACAGAGTCTTTCCAAACTGCTCTATGAAGAGAAAGGTGAAACTCTGTGAACTGAACGCACAGATGACAAAGCAGTTTCTGAGAATGATTCTGTGTAGTTTTTACACGAAGATATTTCCATTTCAAAGATTAGCCTCAAATCGCTTGAAATCTCCACTTGCAAATTCCACAGAAAGAGTTTTTCAAAACTGCTCTGTGTAAAGGAAGGTTCAACTCTGTGACTTGAATACACACAACACAAAGAAGTGACTGAGAATTCTTCTGTCTAGCATTATATGAGGAAATCCCGTTTCCAACGAAGGGCTCATAGAGGGACAATTATCCAGCTGCAGACTTACAAAGAGTGTATTTCCAAACTGCTCGATTAAAGAAAGGTTAAACTCTGTGAGTTGAACACACACATCACAAAGTGTTTTCTGAGAATGATTCTGTGCAGTTTTTATACGAAGATATTTCCTTTTCTGCCATAGGCCTAGAATCGCTTGATATCTGCACTTGCAAATTCCAAAAACAGAGTGTTTCAACTCTGCTCTCTCTAAAGAAAGGTTCAACTCTGTGAGTTGAATACACACAACACAAAGAAGTTACTGAGAATTCTTCTGTCTAGCGTTGTATGAAGAAATCCCGTTTCCAACGAAGGCCTCAAAGAGGTCCAAATATCCACTTGCAGACTTTACAAATAGAGTGTTTCCAAACTGCTCTATGAAAAGAAAGGTTAAACTCTGTGAGTTGAAGGCACACATCACAAACTAGTTTTTACGAATGACTCTGTGTACTTTTAATATGAAGATATTTCCATGTCTAAGATTGGCGTCAAATCGCTTGAAATCTCCACTTGCAAATTCCACAAAAAGTGTTTTTCAAAACTTCTCTGAATAAAGGAAGGTTCCGCTCTGTGAGTTGAATACACACAACACAAAGGATTTACTGAGAATTCTTCTGTCTAGCAGTAAATGAAAAAATCCCGCTTCCAACGAAGTCCTCAAAGGGGTCCAAGTAATCACTTGCAGACTTTACAGACAGAGTCTTTCCAAACTGCTCTATGAAAAGAAAGGTGGAACTCTGTGAGCTGAACGCACACATAACAAAGCAGTTTCTGACAATGATTCTGTGTAGTTTTTACACGAAGCTATTTCCATTTCAAAGATTAGCCTCAAATCGCTTGAAATCTCCACTTGCAAATTCCACAGAAAGAGTTTTTCAAAACTGCTCTGTGTAAAGGAAGGTTCAACTCTGTGACTTGAATACACACAACACAAAGAAGTGACTGAGAATTCTTCTGTCTAGCATTATATGAAGAAATCCCGTTTCCAACGAAGGCCTCAAAGAAGTCCAAATAAGCACCTGCAGACTTTACAAACAGAGTGTTTCCAAACTGCTCTATGAAAAGAAAGGTTAAACTCTGTGAGTTGAACGCACACATCACAAAGTAGTTGTTGAGAATGATTCTGTGTAGTTTTTATACGAAGTATATTTCCTTTTCTGCCATAGGCCTAGTAAGCGCTTGCAATCTGCACTTGCAAATTCCAAAAACAGAGTGTTTCAAATCTGCTCTCTCCAAAGGAAGGTTCAAATCTGTGAGTTGAATACAAACAACACAAAGAAGTTACTGAGAATTCTTCTGTCTAGCATTATATGAGGAAATCCCTTTTCCAACGAAGGGCTCAAAAAGGGCCAATTATCCACTTTCACATTTACAAAGAGTGTATTTCCAAACTGCTCAATTAAAGAAAGGTTAAACTCTGTGAGTTGAACACACACATCACAAAGTGTTTTCTGAGAATGATTTTGTCTAGTTTTAATACGAAGTTATATCCTTTTCTATCATTGTGTTCGAAGCGTTTGAAATCTTCACTAGCAAATTCCACAAAAGATTGTTTCAAATCTGCTCTCTCTCAAGAAAGGTTCAACTCTGTGAGTTGAATACACACAGCACAAAGAAGTTAGTGAGAATTCTTCTGTCTAGCGTTATATGAAGAAATCCCGTTTCCAATGAAGGCCTCAAAGAGGTCGAAATATCCACTTGCAGACTTTACAAATAGAGTGTTTCCAAACTGCTCTATGAAAAGAAAGTTAAACTCTGTGAATTGAAGGCACACATCACAAACTAGTTTCTGCGAATGACTCTGTGTACTTTTAATACGAAGATATTTCCATGTCTAAGATTGGCGTGAAATCGCTTGAAATCTCCACTTGCAAATTCCACAAAAAGAGTGTTTCAAAACTGCTCTGAATAAAGGAAGGTTCAACTCTGTGAGTTGAATACACACAACAGAAAGGATTTAGTGAGAATTCTTCTGTCTAGCATTATAAGAGGAAATCCTGTTTCCAACGAAGGGCTCATAGAGGGACAATTATCCAGCTGCAGACTTACAAAGAGTGTATTTCCAAACTGCTCGATTAAAGAAAGGTTAAACTCTGTGAGTTGAACACACACATCACAAAGTGTTTTCTGAGAATGATTTTGTCTAGTTTTAATACGAAGATATATCCTTTTCTATCACTGTCTTCGAAGCGTTTGAAATCTGCACTAGCAAATTCCACAAAAAGAGTGTTTCCACTCTGCTCTCTCTCAAGAAAGGTTCAACTCTGTGAGTTGAATACACACAACACAAAGAAGTTACTGAGAATTCTTCTGTCTAGCGTTATATGAAGAAATCCCGTTTCCAACGAAGGCCTCAAAGAGGTCCAAATATCCACTTGCAGACTTTACAAATAGAGTGTTTCCAAACTGCTCTATGAAAAGAAAGGTTAAACTCTGTGAGTTGAAGGCACACATCACAAACTAGTTTCTGCGAATGACTCTGTGTACTTTTAATACGAAGATGTTTCCATGTCTAAGATTGGCGTGAATTCGCTTGAAATCTCCACTTGCAAATTCCACAAAAAGAGTGTTTCAAAACTGCTCTGAATAAAGGAAGGTTCCACTCTGTGAGTTGAATACACACAACACAAAGGATTTACTGAGAATTCTTCTGTCTGGCAGTAAATGAAAAAATCCCGCTTCCAACGAAGTCCTCAAAGGGGTCCAAGTAATCACTTGCAGACTTTACAGACAGAGTCTTTCCAAACTGCTCTATGAAAAGAAAGGTGGAACTCTGTGAGCTGAACGCACACGTAACAAAGCAGTTTCTGAGAATGATTCTGTGTAGTTTTTACACGAAGATATTTCCATTTCAAAGATTAGCCTCAAATCGCTTGAAATCTCCACTTGCAAACTCCACAGAAAGAATTTTTCAAAACTGCTCTGTCTAAAGGAAGGTTCAACTCTGTGACTTGAATACACACAACACAAAGAAGTGACTGAGAATTCTTCTGTCTAGCATTATATGAAGAAATCCCGTTTCCAACGAAGGCCTCAATGAAGTCCAAAAAGGCACTTGCAGGCTTTACAAACAGAGTGTTTCCAAACTGCTCTATGAAAAGAAAGGTTAAACTCTGTGAGTTGAACGCACACATCACAAAGTAGTTGTTGAGAATGATTCTGTGTAGTTTTTATACGAAGATAATTCCTTTTCTGCCATAGGCCTAGAATCGCTTGAAATCTGCAGTTGCAAATTCCAAAAACAGAGTGTTTCAACTCTGCTCTCTCTAAAGAAAGGTTCAACTCTGTGAGTTGAATACACACAACACAAAGAAGTTACTGAGAATTCTTCTGTCTAGCGTTATATGAAGAAATCCCGTTTCCAACGAAGGCCTCAAAGAGGTCCAAATATCCACTTGCAGACTTTACAAATAGAGTGTTTCCAAACTGCTCTATGAAAAGAAAGGTTAAACTCCGTGAGTTGAAGGCACACATCACAAACTAGTTTCTGCGAATGACTCTGTGTACTTTTAATATGAAGATATTTCCATGTCTAAGATTGGCGTCAAATCGCTTGAAATCTCCACTTGCAAATTCCACAAAAAGTGTTTTTCAAAACTGCTCTGAATAAAGGAAGGTTCCACTCTGTGAGTTGAATACACACAACACAAAGGATTTACTGAGAATTCTTCTGTCTAGCAGTAAATGAGAAATCCCGCTTCCAACGAAGGCCTCAAAGGGGTCTAACTAATCACTTGCAGACTTTACAGACAGAGTCTTTCCAAACTGCTCTATGAAGAGAAAGGTGAAACTCTGTGAACTGAACGCACAGATGACAAAGCAGTTTCTGAGAATGATTCTGTGTAGTTTTTACACGAAGATATTTCCATTTCAAAGATTAGCCTCAAATCGCTTGAAATCTCCACTTGCAAACTCCACAGAAAGAATTTTTCAAAACTGCTCTGTCTAAAGGAAGGTTCAACTCTGTGACTTGAATACACACAACACAAAGAAGTGACTGAGAATTCTTCTGTCTAGCATTATATGAAGAAATCCCGTTTCCAACGAAGGCCTCAATGAAGTCCAAAAAAGCACTTGCAGGCTTTACAAACAGAGTGTTTCCAAACTGCTCTCTGAAAAGAAAGTTTAAACTCTGTGAGTTGAACGCGCACATCACAAAGTAGTTGTTGAGAATGATTCTGTGTAGTTTTTATACGAAGATATTTCCTTTTCTGCCATAGGCCTAGAAGCGCTTGTAATCTGCACTTGCAAATTCCAAAAACAGAGTGTTTCAAATCTGCTCTCTCTAAAGGAAGGTTCAAATCTGTGAGTTGAATACAAACAACACAAAGAAGTTACTGAGAATTCTTCTGTCTAGTGTTGTATGAAGAAATCCCATTTCCAACGAAGGCCTCAAAGAGGTCCAAATATCCACTTGCAGACTTTACAAATAGAGTGTTTCCCAACTGCTCTATGAAAAGAAAGGTTAAACTCTGTGAGTTGAAGGCACACATCACAAACTAGTTTCTACGAATGACTCTGTGTACTTTTAATATGAAGATATTTCCATGTCTAAGATTGGCGTCAAATCGCTTGAAATCTCCACTTGCAAATTCCACAAAAAGAGTGTTTCAAAACTGCTCTGAATAAAGGAAGGTTCCACTCTGTGAGTTGAATACACACAACACAAAGGATTTACTGAGAATTCTTCTGTCTAGCAGTAAATGAGAAATCCCGCTTCCAACGAAGGCCTCAAAGGGGTCTAACTAATCACTTGCAGACTTTACAGACAGAGTCTTTCCAAACTGCTCTATGAAGAGAAAGGTGAAACTCTGTGAACTGAACGCACAGATGACAAAGCAGTTTCTGAGAATGATTCTGTGTAGTTTTTACACGAAGATATTTCCATTTCAAAGATTAGCCTCAAATCGCTTAAAATCTCCAATTGCAAATTCCACAGAAAGAATTTTTCAAAACTGCTCTGTCTAAAAGAAGGTTCACCTCTGTGACTTGAATACACACAACACAAAGAACTGACTGAGAATTCTTCTGTCTAGCATTATATGAAGAAATCCCGTTTCCAACGAAGGCCTCAATGAAGTCCAAAAAAGCACTTGCAGGCTTTACAAACAGAGTGTTTCCAAACTGCTCTAAGAAAAGAAAGGTTAAACTCTGTGAGTTGAAAGCACACATCACAAAGTAGTTGTTGATAATGATTCCTGTGTAGTTTTTATACGAAGATATTTCCTTTTCTGCCATAGGCCTAGAAGCGCTTGAAATCTGCACTTGCAAATTCCAAAAACAGAGTGTTTCAAATCTGCTCTCTCTAAAGGAAGGTTCAAATCTGTGTGTTGAATACAAACAACACAAAGAAGTTACTGAGAATTCTTCTGTCTAGCGTTATATGAAGAAATCCCGTTTCCAACGAAGGCCTCAAAGAGGTCCAAATATCCACTTGCAGACTTTACAAATAGAGTGTTTCCCAACTGCTCTATGAAAAGAAAGGTTAAACTCTGTGAGTTGAAGGCACACATCACAAACTAGTTTCTACGAATGACTCTGTGTACTTTTAATACGAAGATGTTTCCATGTCTAAGATTGGCGTGAATTCGCTTGAAATCTCCACTTGCAAATTCCACAAAAAGAGTGTTTCAAAACTGCTCTGAATAAAGGAAGGTTCCACTCTGTGAGTTGAATACACACAACACAAAGGATTTACTGAGAATTCTTCTGTCTAGCAGTAAATGAAAAAATCCCGCTTCCAACGAAGTCCTCAAAGGGGTCCAAGTAATCACTTGCAGACTTTACAGACAGAGTCTTTCCAAACTGCTCTATGAAAACAAAGGTGGAACTCTGTGAGCTGAACGCACACATAACAAAGCAGTTTCTGAGAATGATTCTGTGTAGTTTTTACACGAAGCTATTTCCATTTCAAAGATTAGCCTCAAATCGCTTGAAATCTCCACTTGCAAATTCCACAGAAAGAGTTTTTCAAAACTGCTCTGTGTAAAGGAAGGTTCAACTCTGTGACTTGAATACACACAACACAAAGAAGTGACTGAGAATTCTTCTGTCTAGCATTATATGAAGAAATCCCGTTTCCAACGAAGGCCTCAAAGAAGTCCAAATAAGCACCTGCAGACTTTACAAACAGAGTGTTTCCAAACTGCTCTATGAAAAGAAAGGTTAAACTCTGTGAGTTGAACGCACACATCACAAAGTAGTTGTTGAGAATGATTCTGTGTAGTTTTTATACGAAGATATTTCCTTTTCTGCTATTGGCCTAGAATCGCTTGAAATCTGCAGTTGCAAATTCCAAAAACAGAGTGTTTCAACTCTGCTCTCTCTAAAGAAAGGTTCAACTCTGTGAGTTGAATACACACAACACAAAGAAGTTACTGAGAATTCTTCTGTCTAGCGTTGTATGAAGAAATCCCGTTTCCAACGAAGGCCTCAAAGAGGTCCAAATATCCACTTGCAGACTTTACAAATAGAGTGTTTCCAAACTGCTCTATGAAAAGAAAGGTTAAACTCTGTGAGTTGAAGGCACACATCACAATCTAGTTTCTACGAATGACTCTGTGTACTTTTAATACGAAGGATGTTTCCATGTCTAAGATTGGCGTGAATTCGCTTGAAATCTCCACCTGCAAATTCCACAAAAAGAATGTTTCAAAACTGCTCTGAATAGAGGAAGGTTCCACTCTGTGAGTTGAATACACACAACACAAAGGATTTACTGAGAATTCTTCTGTCTAGCAGTAAATGAGAAATCCCGCTTCCAACGAAGGCCTCAAAGGGGTCTAACTAATCACTTGCAGACTTTACAGACAGAGTCTTTCCAAACTGCTCTATGAAGAGAAAGGTGAAACTCTGTGAACTGAACGCACAGATGACAAAGCAGTTTGCTGAGAATGATTCTGTGTAGTTTTTACACGAAGCTATTTCCATTTCAAAGATTAGCCTCAAATCGCTTGAAATCTCCACTTGCAAATTCCACAGAAAGAGTTTTTCTAAACTGCTCTGTGTAAAGGAAGGTTCAACTCTGTGACTTGAATACACACAACACAGGGAAGTGACTGAGAATTCTTCTGTCTAGCATTATATGAAGAAATCCCGTTTCCAACGAAGGCCTCAATGAAGTCCAAAAAAGCACTTGCAGGCTTTACAAACAGAGTGTTTCCAAACTGCTCTATGAAAAGAAAGGTTAAACTCTGTGAGTTGAACGCACACATCACAAAGTAGTTGTTGAGAATGATTCTGTGTAGTTTTTATACGAAGATATTTCCTTTTCTGCCATAGGCCTAGAATCCCTTGAAATCTGCACTTCCAAATTCCAAAAACAGAGTGTTTCAACTCTGCTCTCTCTAAAGAAAGGTTCAACTCTGTGAGTTGAATACACACAACACAAAGAAGTTACTGAGAATTCTTCTGTCTAGCGTTGTATGAAGAAATCCCGTTTCCAACGAAGGCCTCAATGAAGTCCAACAAAGCACTTGCAGGCTTTACAAACAGAGTGTTTCCAAACTGCTCTATGAAAAGAAAGGTTAAACTCTGTGAGTTGAACGCACACATCACAAAGTAGTTGTTGAGAATGATTCTGTGTAGTTTTTATACGAAGATATTTCCTTTCCTGCCATAGGCCTAGAATCGCTTGAAATCTGCACTTGCAAATTCCAAAAACAGAGTGTTTCAACTCTGCTCTCTCTAAAGAAAGGTTCAACTCTGTGAGTTGAATACACAGAACACAAAGAAGTTACTGAGAATTCTTCTGTCTAGTGTTGTATGAAGAAATCCCATTTCCAACGAAGGCCTCAAAGAGGTCCAAATATCCACTTGCAGACTTTACAAATAGAGTGTTTCCAAACTGCTCTATGAAAAGAAAGGTTAAACTCTGTGAGTTGAAGGCACACATCACAAACTAGTTTCTACGAATGATTCTGTGTACTTTTAATATGAAGATATTTCCATGTCTAAGATTGGCGTCAAATCGCTTGAAATCTCCACTTGCAAATTCCACAAAAAGAGTGTTTCAAAACTGCTCTGAATAAAGGAAGGTTCCACTCTGTGAGTTGAATAAACGCAACACAAATGATTTACTGAGAATTCTTCTGTCTAGCATTATATGAAGAAATCCCGTTTCCAACGAAGGCCTCAATGAAGTCCAAAAAAGCACTTGCAGGCTTTACAAACAGCGTGTTTCCAAACTGCTCTATGAAAAGAAAGGTTAAACTTTGTGAGTTGAACGCACACATCACAAAGTAGTTGTTGAGAATGATTCTGTGTAGTTTTTATACGAAGATATTTCCTTTTCTGCCATAGGCCTAGAATCGCTTGAAATCTGCACTTGCAAATTCCAAAAACAGAGTGTTTCAACTCTGCTCTTTCTAAAGAAAGGTTCAACTCTGTGAGTTGAATACACACAACACAAAGAAGTTACTGAGAATTCTTCTGTCTAGCGTTGTATGAAGAAATCCCGTTTCCAACGAAGGCCTCAAAGAGGTCCAAATATCCACTTGCAGACTTTACAAACAGAGTGTTTCCGAACTGCTCTATGAAAAGAAAAGTTAAACTCTGTGAGTTGAAGGCACACATCACAAACTAGTTTCTACGAATGACTCTGTGTACTTTTAATACGAAGATGTTTCCATGTCTAAGATTGGCGTGAATTCGCTTGAAATCTCCACTTGCAAATTCCACAAAAAGAGTGTTTCAAAACTGCTCTGAATAAAGGAAGGTTCCACTCTGTGAGTTGAATACACACAACACAAAGGATTTACTGAGAATTCTTCTGTCTAGCAGTAAATGAGAAATCCCGCTTCCAACGAAGGCCTCAAAGGGGTCTAACTAATCACTTGCAGACTTTACAGACAGAGTCTTTCCAAACTGCTCTATGAAGAGAAAGGTGAAACTCTGTGAACTGAACGCACAGATGACAAAGCAGTTTCTGAGAATGATTCTGTGTAGTTTTTACACGAAGATATTTCCATTTCAAAGATTAGCCTCAAATCGCTTGAAATCTCCACTTGCAAATTCCACAGAAAGAGTTTTTCAAAACTGCTCTGTGTAAAGGAAGGTTCAACTCTGTGACTTGAATCCACACAACACAAAGAAGTGACTGAGAATTCTTCTGTCTAGCATTATATGAAGAAATCCCGTTTCCAACGAAGGCCTCAATGAAGTCCAAAAAAGCACTTGCAGGCTTTACAAACAGAGTGTTTCCAAACTGCTCTATGAAAAGAAAGGTTAAACTCTGTGAGTTGAACGCACACATCACAAAGTAGTTGTTGAGAATGATTCTGTGTAGTTTTTATACGAAGATATTTCCTTTTCTGCCATAGGCCTAGAAGCGCTTGCAATCTGCACTTGCAAATTCCAAAAACAGAGTGTTTCAAATCTGCTCTCTCCAAAGGAAGGTTCAAATCTGTGAGTTGAATACAAACAACACAAAGAAGTTACTGAGAATTCTTCTGTCTAGCGTTATATGAAGAAATCCCGTTTCCAACGAAGGCCTCAAAGAGGTCCAAATATCCACTTGCAGACTTTACAAATAGAGTGTTTCCCAACTGCTCTATGAAAAGAAAGGTTAAACTCTGTGAGTTGAAGGCACACATCACAAACTAGTTTCTACGAATGACTCTGTGTACTTTTAATATGAAGATATTTCCATGTCTAAGATTGGCGTCAAATCGCTTGAAATCTCCACTTGCAAATTCCACGAAAAGTGTTTTTCAAAACTGCTCTGAATAAAGGAAGGTTCCACTCTGTGAGTTGAATACACACAACACAAAGGATTTACTGAGAATTCTTCTGTCTAGCAGTAAATGAAAAAATCCCGCTTCCAATGAAGTCCTCAAAGGGGTCCAAGTAATCACTTGCAGACTTTACAGAGTCTTTCCAAACTGCTCTATGAAAAGAAAGGTGGAACTCTGTGAGCTGAACGCACACATAACAAAGCAGTTTCTGAGAATGATTCTGTGTAGTTTTTACACGAAGATATTTCCATTTCAAAGATTAGCCTCAAATCGCTTGAAATCTCCACTTGCAAATTCCACAGAAAGAGTTTTTCAAAACTGCTCTGTGTAAAGGAAGGTTCAACTCTGTGACTTGAATACACACAACACAAAGAAGTGACTGAGAATTCTTCTGTCTAGCATTATATGAAGAAATCCCGTTTCCAACGAAGGCCTCAAAGAAGTCCAAATAAGCACCTGCAGACTTTACAAACAGAGTGTTTCCAAACTGCTCTATGAAAAGAAAGGTTAAACTCTGTGAGTTGAACGCACACATCACAAAGTAGTTGTTGAGAATGATTCTGTGTAGTTTTTATACGAAGATATTTCCTTTTCTGCCATAGGCCTAGAAGCGCTTGCAATCTGCACTTGCAAATTCCAAAAACAGAGTGTTTCAAATCTGCTATCTCCAAAGGAAGGTTCAAATCGGTGAGTTGAATACAAACAACACAAAGAAGTTACTGAGAATTCTTCTGTCTAGCATTATATGAGGAAATCCCGTTTCCAACGAAGGGCTCATAGAGGGACAATTATCCAGCTGCAGACTTACAAAGAGTGTATTTCCAAACTGCTCGATTAAAGAAAGGTTAAACTCCTGTGAGTTGAACACACACATCACAAAGTGTTTTCTGAGAATGATTTTGTCTAGTTTTAATACGAAGATATATCCTTTTCTATCACTGTCTTCGAAGCGTTTGAAATCTGCACTAGCAAATTCCACAAACAGAGTGTTTCAACTCTGCTCTCTCTCAAGAAAGGTTCAACTCTGTGAGTGGAATACACACAACACAAAGAAGTTACTGAGAATTCTTCTGTCTAGCGTTATATGAAGAAATCCCGTTTCCAACGAAGGCCTCAAAGAGGTCCAAATATCCACTTGCAGACTTTACAAATAGAGTGTTTCCCAACTGCTCTATGAAAAGAAAGGTTAAACTCTGTAAGTTGAAGGCACACATCACAAACTAGTTTCTACGAATGACTCTGTGTACTTTTAATATGAAGATATTTCCATGTCTATGATTGGCGTCAAATCGCTTGAAATCTCCACTTGCAAATTCCACAAAAAGAGTGTTTCAAAACTGCTCTGAATAAAGGAAGGTTCCACTCTGTGAGTTGAGTACACACAACACAAAGGATTTACTGAGAATTCTTCTGTCTAGCAGTAAATGAGAAATCCCGCTTCCAACGAAGGCCTCAAAGGGGTCTAACTAATCACTTGCAGACTTTAAAGACAGAGTCTTTCCAAACTGCTCTATGAAGAGAAAGGTGAAATTCTGTGAACTGAACGCACAGATGACAAAGCAGTTTCTGAGAATGCTTCTGTGTAGTTTTTACACGAAGATATTTCCATTTCAAAGATTAGCCTCAAATCGCTTGAAATCTCCACTTGCAAATTCCACAGAAAGAGTTTTTCAAAACTGCTCTGTGTAAAGGAAGGTTCAACTCTGTGACTTGAATACACACAACACAAAGAAGTGACTGAGAATTCTTCTGTCTAGCATTATATGAAGAAATCCCGTTTCCAACCAAGGCCTCAAAGAAGTCCAAATAAGCACCTGCAGACTTTACAAACAGAGTGTTTCCAAACTGCTCTATGAAAAGAAAGGTTAAACTCTGTGAGTTGAACGCACACATCACAAAGTAGTTGTTGAGAATGATTCTGTGTAGTTTTTATACCGAAGATATTTCCTTTTCTGCCATAGGCCTAGAAGCGCTTGTAATCTCCACTTGCAAATTCCAAAAACAGAGTGTTTCAAATCTGCTCTCTCTAAAGGAAGGTTCAAATCTGTGAGTTGAATACAAACAACACAAAGAAGTTACTGAGAATTCTTCTGTCTAGCGTTATATGAAGAAATCCCGTTTCCAACGAAGGCCTCAAAGAGGTCCAAATATCCACTTGCAGACTTTACAAATAGAGTGTTTCCAAACTGCTCTATGAAAAGAAAGGTTAAACTCCGTGAGTTGAAGGCACACATCACAAACTAGTTTCTGCGAATGACTCTGTGTACTTTTAATACGAAGATGTTTCCATGTGTAAGATTGGCGTGAATTCGCTTGAAATCTCCACTTGCAAATTCCACAAAAAGAGTGTTTCAAAACTGCTCTGAATAAAGGAAGGTTCCACTCTGTGAGTTGAATACACACAACACAAAGGATTTACTGAGAATTCTTCTGTCTAGCAGTAAATGAGAAATCCCGCTTCCAACGAAGGCCTCAAAGGGGTCTAACTAATCACTTGCAGACTTTACAGACAGTCTTTCCAAACTGCTCTATGAAGAGAAAGGTGAAACTCAGTGAACTGAACGCACAGATAACAAAGCAGTTTCTGAGAATGATTCTGTGTAGTTTTTACACGAAGCTATTTCCATTTCAAAGATTAGCCTCAAATCGCTTGAAATCTCCACTTGCAAATTCCACAGAAAGAGTTTCTCAAAACTGCTCTGTGTAAAGGAAGGTTCAACTCTGTGACTTGAATACACACAACACAAAGAAGTGACTGAGAATTCTTCTGTCTAGCATTATATGAAGAAATCCCGTTTCCAACGAAGGCCTCAATGAAGTCCAAAAAAGCACTTGCAGGCTTTACAAACAGAGTGTTTCCAAACTGCTCTATGAAAAGAAAGGTTAAACTCTGTGAGTTGAACGCACACATCACAAAGTAGTTGTTGAGAATGATTCTGTGTAGTTTTTATACGAAGATATTTCCTTTTCTGCCATAGGCCTAGAAGCGCTTGAAATCTGCACTTGCAAATTCCAAAAACAGAGTGTTTCAAATCTGCTCTCTCTAAAGGAAGGTTCAAATCTGTGTGTTGAATACAAACAACACAAAGAAGTTACTGAGAATTCTTCTGTCTAGCGTTATATGAAGAAATCCCGTTTCCAACGAAGGCCTCAAAGAGGTCCAAATATCCACTTGCAGACTTTACAAAGAGAGTGTTTCCAAACTGCTCTATGAAAAGAAAGGTTAAACTCCGTGAGTTGAAGGCACACATCAAAAACTAGTTTCTGCGAATGACTCTGTGTACTTTTAATACGAAGATGTTTCCATGTCTAAGATTGGCGTGAATTCGCTTGAAATCTCCACTTGCAAATTCCACAAAAAGAGTGTTTCAAAAGTGCTCTGAATAAAGGAAGGTTCCACTCTGTGAGTTGAATACACACAACACAAAGGATTTACTGAGAATTCTTCTGTCTAGCAGTAAATGAAAAAATCCCGCTTCCAACGAAGTCCTCAAAGGGGTCCAAGTAATCAATTGCAGACTTTACAGACAGAGTCTTTCCAAACTGCTCTATGAAAAGAAAGGTGGAACTCTGTGAGCTGAACGCACACATAACAAAGCAGTTTCTGAGAATGATTCTGTGTAGTTTTTACACGAAGATATTTCCATTTCAAAGATTAGCCTCAAATCGCTTGAAATCTCCACTTGCAAATTCCACAGAAAGAGTTTTTCAAAACTGCTCTGTGTAAAGGAAGGTTCAACTCTGTGACTTGAATACACACAACACAAAGAAGTGACTGAGAATTCTTCTGTCTAGCATTATATGAAGAAATCCCGTTTCCAACGAAGGCCTCAAAGAAGTCCAAATAAGCACCTGCAGACTTTACAAACAGAGTGTTTCCAAACTGCTCTATGAAAAGAAAGGTTAAACTGCTGTGAGTTGAACGCACACATCACAAAGTAGTTGTTGAGAATGATTTCTGTGTAGTTTTTATACGAAGATATTTCCTTTTCTGCCATAGGCCTAGAAGCGCTTGTAATCTGCACTTGCAAATTCCAAAAACAGAGTGTTTCAAATCTGCTCTCTCTAAAGGAAGGTTCAAATCTGTGAGTTGAATACAAACAACACAAAGAAGTTACTGAGAATTCTTCTGTCTAGCGTTATATGAAGAAATCCCGTTTCCAACGAAGGCCTCAAAGAGGTCCAAATATCCACTTGCAGACTTTACAAATAGAGTGTTTCCAAACTGCTCTATGAAAAGAAAGGTTAAACTCCGTGAGTTGAAGGCACACATCACAAACTAGTTTCTGCGAATGACTCTGTGTACTTTTAATACGAAGATGTTTCCATGTCTAAGATTGGCGTGAATTCGCTTGAAATCTCCACTTGCAAATTCCACAAAAAGAGTGTTTCAAAACTGCTCTGAATAAAGGAAGGTTCCACTCTGTGAGTTGAATACACACAACACAAAGGATTTACTGAGAATTCTTCTGTCTAGCAGTAAATGAGAAATCCCGCTTCCAACGAAGGCCTCAAAGGGGTCTAACTAATCACTTGCAGACTTTACAGACAGAGTCTTTCCAAACTGCTCTATGAAGAGAAAGGTGAAACTCTGTGAACTGAACGCACAGATGACAAAGCAGTTTCTGAGAATGATTCTGTGTAGTTTTTACACGAAGATATTTCCATTTCAAAGATTAGCCTCAAATCGCTTGAAATCTCCACTTGCAAATTCCACAGAAAGAGTTTTTCAAAACTGCTCTGTGTAAAGGAAGGTTCAACTCTGTGACTTGAATACACACAACACAAAGAAGTGACTGAGAATTCTTCTGTCTAGCATTATATGAGAAATCCCGTTTCCAACGAAGGCCTCAAAGAAGTCCAAATAAGCACCTGCAGACTTTACAAACAGAGTGTTTCCAAACTGCTCTATGAAAAGAAAGGTTAAACTCTGTGAGGTGAACGCACACATCACAAAGTAGTTGTTGAGAATGATTCTGTGTAGTTTTTATACGAAGATATTTAATTTTCTGCCATAGGCCTAGAAGCGCTTGAAATCTGCACTTGCAAATTCCAAAAACAGAGTGTTTCATATCTGCTCTCTCCAAAGGAAGGTTCAAATCTGTGAGTTGAATACAAACAACACAAAGAAGTTACTGAGAATTCTTCTGTCTAGCGTTATATGAAGAAATCCCTTTTCCAACGAAGGAATCAAAGAGGTCCAAATATCCACTTGCAGACTTTACAAATAGAGTGTTTCCAAACTACTCTATGAAAAGAAAGGTTAAACTCTGTGAGTTGAAGGCACACATCACAAACTAGTTTCTACGAATGATTCTGTGTACTTTTAATATGAAGATATTTCCATGTCTAAGATTGCCGTCAAATCTCTTGAAATCTCCACTTGCAAATTCCACAAAAAGAGTGTTTCAAAACTTCTCTGAATAAAGGAAGGTTCCACTCTGTGAGTTGAATACACACAACAAAAAGATTTACTGAGAATTCTTCTGTCTAGCAGTAAATGAGAAATCCCGCTTCCAACGAAGGCCTCAAAGGGGTCTAACTAATCACTTGCAGACTTTACAGACAGAGTCTTTCCAAACTGCTCTTTGAAGAGAAAGGTGAAACTCTGTGAACTGAACGCACAGATAACAAAGCAGTTTCTGAGAATGATTCTGTGTAGTTTTTACACGAAGCTATTTCCATTTCAAAGATTAGCCTCAAATCGCTTGAAATCTCCACTTGCAAATTCCACAGAAAGAGTTTTTCAAAACTGCTCTGTGTAAAGGAAGGTTCAACTCTGTGACTTGAATACACACAACACAAAGAAGTGACTGAGAATTCTTCTGTCTAGCGTTGTATGAAGAAATCCCGTTTCCAACGAAGGCCTCAATGAAGTCCAAAAAAGCACTTGCAGGCTTTACAAACAGAGTGTTTCCAAACTGCTCTATGAAAAGAAAGGTTAAACTCTGTGAGTTGAACGCACACATCACAAAGTAGTTGTTGAGAATGATTCTGTGTAGTTTTTATACGAAGATATTTACTTTTCTGCCATAGGCCTAGAAGCGCTTGAAATCTGCACTTGCAAATTCCAAAAACAGAGTGTTTCAAATCTGCTCTCTCTAAAGGAAGGTTCAAATCTGTGAGTTGAATACAAACAACACAAAGAAGTTACTGAGAATTCTTCTGTCTAGCATTATATGAGGAAATCCCGTTTCCAACGAAGGGCTCAAAGAGGGCCAATTATCCACCTGCAGAATTACAAAGAGTGTATTTCCAAACTGCTCGATTAAAGAAAGGTTAAACTCTGTGAGTTGAACACACACATCACAAAGTGTTTTCTGAGAATGATTCTGTGTACTTTTAATACGAAGATGTTTCCATGTCTAAGATTGGCGTGAATTCGCTTGAAATCTCCACTTGCAAATTCCACAAAAAGAGTGTTTCAAAACTGCTCTGAATAAAGGAAGGTTCCACTCTGTGAGTTGAATACACACAACACAAAGGATTTACTGAGAATTCTTCTGTCCAGCAGTAAATGAAAAAATCCCGCTTCCAACGAAGTCCTCAAAGGGGTCCAAGTAATCACTTGCAGACTTTACAGACAGAGTCTTTCCAAACTGCTCTATGAAAAGAAAGGTGGAACTCTGTGAGCTGAACGCACACATAACAAAGCAGTTTCTGAGAATGATTCTGTGTAGTTTTTACACGAAGCTATTTCCATTTCAAAGATTAGCCTCAAATCGCTTGAAATCTCCACTTGCAAATTCCACAGAAAGAGTTTTTCAAAACTGCTCTGTGTAAAGGAAGGTCCAACTCTGTGACTTGAATACACACAACACAAAGAAGTGACTGAGAATTCTTCTGTCTAGCATTATATGAGGAAATCCCGTTTCCAACGAAGGGCTCAAAGAGGGCCAAATATCCACCTGCAGACTTACAAAGAGTGTATTTCCAAACTGCTCGATTAAAGAAAGGTTAAACTCTGTGAGTTGAACACACACATCACAAAGAGTTTTCTGAGAATGATTCTGTGTAGTTTTTATACGAAGATATTTCCTTTTCTGCCATAGGCCTAGAAGCGCTTGCAATCTGCACTTGCAAATTCCAAAAACAGAGTGTTTCAAATCTGCTCTCTCCAAAGGAAGGTTCAAATCTGTGAGTTGAATACAAACAACACAAAGAAGTTACTGAGAATTCTTCTGTCTAGCGTTATATGAAGAAATCCCGTTTCCAACGAAGGCCTCAAAGAGGTCCAAATATCCACTTGCAGACTTTACAAATAGAGTGTTTCCAAACTGCTCTATGAAAAGAAAGGTTAAACTCTGTGAGTTGAAGGCACACATCACAAACTAGTTTCTGCGAATGACTCTGTGTACTTTTAATATGAAGATATTTCCATGTCTAAGATTGGCGTCAAATCGCTTGAAATCTCCACTTGCAAATTCCACAAAAAGTGTTTTTCAAAACTGCTCTGAATAAAGGAAGGTTCCACTCTGTGAGTTGAATACACACAACACAAAGGATTTACTGAGAATTCTTCTGTCTAGCAGTAAATGAAAAAATCCCGCTTCCAACGAAGTCCTCAAAGGGGTCCAAGTAATCACTTGCAGACTTTACAGACAGAGTCTTTCCAAACTGCTCTATGAAAAGAAAGGTGGAACTCTGTGAGCTGAACGCACACATAACAAAGCAGTTTCTGACAATGATTCTGTGTAGTTTTTACACGAAGCTATTTCCATTTCAAAGATTAGCCTCAAATAGCTTGAAATCTCCACTTGCAAATTCCACAGAAAGAGTTTTTCAAAACTGCTCTGTGTAAAGGAAGGTCCAACTCTGTGACTTGAATACACACAACACAAAGAAGTGACTGAGAATTCTTCTGTCTAGCATTATATGAGGAAATCCCGTTTCCAACGAAGGGCTCAAAGAGGGCCAATTATCCACCTGCAGACTTACAAAGAGTGTATTTCCAAACTGCTCGATTAAAGAAAGGTTAAACTCTGTGAGTTGAACACACACATCACAAAGTGTTTTCTGAGAATGATTTTGTCTAGTTTTAATACGAAGATATATCCTTTGCTATCACTGTCTTCGAAGCGTTTGAAATCTGCACTAGCAAATTCCACAAAAAGAGTGTTTCAACTCTGCTCTCTCTAAAGAAAGGTTCAACTCTGTGAGTTGAATACACACAACACAAAGAAGTTACTGAGAATTCTTCTGTCTAGCGTTATATGAAGAAATCCCGTTTCCAACGAAGGCCTCAAAGAGGTCCAAATATCCACTTGCAGACTTTACAAATAGAGTGTTTCCAAACTGCTCTATGAAAAGAAAGGTTAAACTCCGTGAGTTGAAGGCACACATCACAAACTAGTTTCTGCGAATGACTCTGTGTACTTTTAATACGAAGATGTTTCCATGTCTAAGATTGGCGTGAATTCGCTTGAAATCTCCACTTGCAAATTCCACAAAAAGAGTGTTTCAAAACTGCTCTGAATAAAGGAAGGTTCCACTCTGTGAGTTGAATACACACAACACAAAGGATTTACTGAGAATTCTTCTGTCTAGCAGTAAATGAAAAAATCCCGCTTCCAACGAAGTCCTCAAAGGGGTCCAAGTAATCACTTGCAGACTTTACAGACAGAGTCTTTCCAAACTGCTCTATGAAAACAAAGGTGGAACTCTGTGAGCTGAACGCACACATAACAAAGCAGTTTCTGACAATGATTCTGTGTAGTTTTTACACGAAGATATTTCCATTTCAAAGATTAGCCTCAAATCGCTTGAAATCTCCACTTGCAAATTCCACTGAAAGAGTTTTTCAAAACTGCTCTGTGTAAAGGAAGGTTCAACTCTGTGACTTGAATACACACAACACAAAGAAGTGACTGAGAATTCTTCTGTCTAGCATTATATGAAGAAATCCCGTTTCCAACGAAGGCCTCAAAGAAGTCCAAATAAGCACCTGCAGACTTTACAAACAGAGTGTTTCCAAACTGCTCTATGAAAAGAAAGGTTAAACTCTGTGAGTTGAACGCACACATCACAAAGTAGTTGTTGAGAATGATTTTGTCTAGTTTTAATACGAAGATATATCCTTTTCTATCACTGTCTTCGAAGCGTTTGAAATCTGCACTAGCAAATTCCACAAAAAGAGTGTTTCAACTCTGCTCTCTCTCAAGAAAGGTTCAACTCTGTGAGTTGAATACACACAACACAAAGAAGTTACTGAGAATTCTTCTGTCTAGCGTTATATGAAGAAATCCCGTTTCCAACGAAGGCCTCAAAGAGGTCCAAATATCCACTTGCAGACTTTACAAATAGAGTGTTTCCAAACTGCTCTATGAAAAGAAAGGTTAAACTCCGTGAGTTGAAGGCACACATCACAAACTAGTTTCTGCGAATGACTCTGTGTACTTTTAATACGAAGATGTTTCCATGTCTAAGATTGGCGTGAATTCGCTTGAAATCTCCACTTGCAAATTCCACAAAAAGAGTGTTTCAAAAGTGCTCTGAATAAAGGAAGGTTCCACTCTGTGAGTTGAATACACACAACACAAAGGATTTACTGAGAATTCTTCTGTCTAGCAGTAAATGAGAAATCCCGCTTCCAACGAAGGCCTCAAAGGGGTCTAACTAATCACTTGCAGACTTTACAGACAGAGTCTTTCCAAACTGCTCTATGAAGAGAAAGGTGAAACTCTGTGAACTGAGAGCACAGATGACAAAGCAGTTTCTGAGAATGATTCTGTGTAGTTTTTACACGAAGATATTTCCATTTCAAAGATTACCCTCAAATCGCTTGAAATCTCCACTTGCAAACTCCACAGAAAGAATTTTTCAAAACTGCTCTGTCTAAAGGAAGGCTCAACTCTGTGACTTGAATACACACAACACAAAGAAGTGACTGAGAATTCTTCTGTCTAGCATTATAAGAGGAAATCCTGTTTCCAACGAAGGGCTCATAGAGGGACAATTATCCAGCTGCAGACTTACAAAGAGTGTATTTCCAAACTGCTCGATTAAAGAAAGGTTAAACTCTGTGAGTTGAACACACACATCACAAAGTGTTTTCTGAGAATGATTCTGTGTAGTTTTTATACGAAGATATTTCCTTTTCTGCCATAGGCCTAGAAGCGCTTGAAATCTGCACTTGCAAATTCCAAAAACAGAGTGTTTCAAATCTGCTCTCTCTAAAGGAAGGTTCAAATCTGTGTGTTGAATACAAACAACACAAAGAAGTTACTGAGAATTCTTCTGTCTAGCGTTATATGAAGAAATCCCGTTTCCAACGAAGGCCTCAAAGAGGTCCAAATATCCACTTGCAGACTTTACAAATAGAGTGTTTCCAAACTGCTCTATGAAAAGAAAGGTTAAACTCTGTGAGTTGAAGGCACACATCACAAACTAGTTTCTGCGAATGACTCTGTGTACTTTTAATATGAAGATATTTCCATGTCTAAGATTGGCGTCAAATCGCTTGAAATCTCCACTTGCAAATTCCACAAAAAGAGTGTTTCAAAACTGCTCTGAATAAAGGAAGGTTCCACTCTGTGAGTTGAATACACACAACACAAAGGATTTACTGAGAATTCTTCTGTCTAGCAGTAAATGAAAAAATCCCGCTTCCAACGAAGTCCTCAAAGGGGTCCAAGTAATCACTTGCAGACTTTACAGACAGAGTCTTTCCAAACTGCTCTATGAAAAGAAAGGTGGAACTCTGTGAGCTGAACGCACACATAACAAAGCAGTTTCTGACAATGATTCTGTGTAGTTTTTACACGAAGCTATTTCCATTTCAAAGTATTAGCCTCAAATCGCTTGAAATCTCCACTTGCAAATTCCACAGAAAGAGTTTTTCAAAACTGCTCTGTGTAAAGGAAAGTTCAACTCTGTGACTTGAATACACACAACACAAAGAAGTGACTGAGAATTCTTCTGTCTAGCATTATATGAAGAAATCCCGTTTCCAACGAAGGCCTCAATGAAGTCCAAAAAAGCACTTGCAGGCTTTACAAACAGAGTGTTTCCAAACTGCTCTATGAAAAGAAAGGTTAAACTCTGTGAGTTGAACGCACACATCACAAAGTAGTTGTTGAGAATGATTCTGTGTAGTTTTTATACGAAGGATATTTCCTTTTCTGCCATAGGCCTAGAAGCGCTTGAAATCTGCACTTGCAAATTCCAAAAACAGAGTGTTTCAAATCTGCCCTCTCTAAAGGAAGGTTCAAATCTGTGAGTTGAATACAAACAACACAAAGAAGTTACTGAGAATTCTTCTGTCTAGCATTATATGAGGAAATCCCGTTTCCAACGAAGGGCTCAAAGAGGGCCAATTATCCACCTGCAGACTTACAAAGAGTGTATTTCCAAACTGCTCGATTAAAGAAAGGTTAAACTCTGTGAGTTGAACACACACATCACAAAGTGTTTTCTGAGAATGATTTTGTCTAGTTTTAATACGAAGATATATCCTTTTCTATCACTGTCTTCGAAGCGTTTGAAATCTGCACTAGCAAATTCCACAAAAAGTGTTTCAACTCTGCTCTCTCTAAAGAAACGTTCAACTCTGTGAGTTGAATACACACAACACAAAGAAGCTACTGAGAATTCTTCTGTCTAGCGTTATATGAAGAAATCCCTTTTCCAACGAAGGAATCAAAGAGGTCCAAATATCCAGTTGCAGACTTTACAAATAGAGTGTTTCCAAACTGCTCTATGAAAAGAAAGGTTAAACTCTGTGAGTTGAAGGCACACATCACAAACTAGTTTCTACGAATGACTCTGTGTACTTTTAATATGAAGATATTTCCATGTCTAAGATTGGCGTCAAATCGCTTGAAATCTCCACTTGCAAATTCCACAAAAAGTGTTTTTCAAAACTGCTCTGAATAAAGGAAGGTTCCACTCTGTGAGTTGAATACACACAACACAAAGGATTTACTGAGAATTCTTCTGTCTAGCAGTAAATGAGAAATCCCGCTTCCAACGAAGGCCTCAAAGGGGTCTAACTAATCACTTGCAGACTTTACAGACAGAGTCTTTCCAAACTGCTCTATGAAGAGAAAGGTGAAACTCTGTGAACTGAACGCACAGATGACAAAGCAGTTTCTGAGAATGATTCTGTGTAGTTTTTACACGAAGATATTTCCATTTCAAAGATTAGCCTCAAATCGCTTGAAATCTCCACTTGCAAACTCCACAGAAAGAATTTTTCAAAACTGCTCTGTCTAAAGGAAGGTTCAACTCTGTGACTTGAATACACACAACACAAAGAAGTGACTGAGAATTCTTCTCTCTAGCATTATATGAAGAAATCCCGTTTCCAACGAAGGCCTCAAAGAAGTCCAAATAAGCACCTGCAGACTTTACAAACAGAGTGTTTCCAAACTGCTCTATGAAAAGAAAGGTTAAACTCTGTGAGTTGAACGCACACATCACAAAGTAGGTGTTGAGAATGATTCTGTGTAGTTTTTATACGAAGATATTTCCTTTTCTGCCATAGGCCTAGAAGCGCTTGAAATCTGCACTTGCAAATTCCAAAAACAGAGTGTTTCAAATCTGCTCTCTCTAAAGGAAGGTTCAAATCAGTGAGTTGAATACAAACAACACAAAGAAGTTACTGAGAATTCTTCTGTCTAGCGTTATATGAAGAAATCCCGTTTCCAACGAAGGCCTCAAAGAGGTCCAAATATCCACTTGCAGACTTTACAAATAGAGTGTTTCCCAACTGCTCTATGAAAAGAAAGGTTAAACTCTGTGAGTTGAAGGCACACATCACACACTAGTTTCTACGAATGACTCTGTGTACTTTTAATATGAAGATATTTCCATGTCTAAGATTGGCGTCAAATCGCTTGAAATCTCCACTTGCAAATTCCACAAAAAGAGTGTTTCAAAACTGCTCTGAATAAAGGAAGGTTCCACTCTGTGAGTTGAATACACACAACACAAAGGATTTACTGAGAATTCTTCTGTCTAGCAGTAAATGAGAAATCCCGCTTCCAACGAAGGCCTTAAAGGGGTCTAACTAATCACTTGCAGACTTTACAGACAGAGTCTTTCCAAACTGCTCTATGAAGAGAAAGGTGAAACTCTGTGAACTGAACGCACAGATGACAAAGCAGTTTCTGAGAATGATTCTGTGTAGTTTTTACACGAAGATATTTCCATTTCAAAGATTAGCCTCAAATCGCTTGAAATCTCCACTTGCAAATTACACAGAAAGAATTTTTCAAAACTGCTCTGTCTAAAGGAAGGTTCAACTCTGTGAGTTGAATACACACAACACAAAGAAGTGACTGAGAATTCTTCTGTCTAGCGTTGTATGAAGAAATCCCGTTTCCAACGAAGGCCTCAATGAAGTACAAAAAAGCACTTGCAGGCTTTACAAACAGAGTGTTTCCAAACTGCTCTATGAAAAGAAAGGTTAAACTCTGTGAGTTGAACACACACATCACAAAGAGTTTTCTGAGAATGATTTTGTCTACTTTTAATACGAAGATATATCCTTTTCTATCACTGTCTTCGAAGCGTTTGAAATCTGCACTAGCAAATTCCACAAAAAGAGTGTTTCAACTCTGCTCTCTCTAAAGAAAGGTTCAACTCTGTGAGTTGAATACACACAACACAAAGAAGTTACTGAGAATTCTTCTGTCTAGCGTTGTATGAAGAAATCCCGTTTCCAACGAAGGCCTCAAAGAGGTCCAAATATCCACTTGCAGACTTTACAAATAGAGTGTTTCCAAACTGCTCTATGAAAAGAAAGGTTAAACTCTGTGAGTTGAAGGCACACATCACAAACTAGTTTCTACGAATGACTCTGTGTACTTTTAATACGAAGATGTTTCCATGTCTAAGATTGGCGTGAATTCGCTTGAAATCTCCACTTGCAAATTCCACAAAAAGAGTGTTTCAAAACTGCTCTGAATAAAGGAAGGTTCCACTCTGTGAGTTGAATACACACAACACAAAGGATTTACTGAGAATTCTTCTGTCTAGCAGTAAATGAAAAAATCCCGCTTCCAACGAAGTCCTCAAAGGGGTCCAAGTAATCACTTGCAGACTTTACAGACAGAGTCTTTCCAAACTGCTCTATGAAAAGAAAGGTGGAACTCTGTGAGCTGAACGCACACATAACAAAGCAGTTTCTGAGAATGATTCTGTGTAGTTTTTACACGAAGATATTTCCATTTCAAAGATTAGCCTCAAATCGCTTGAAATCTCCACTTGCAAATTACACAGAAAGAATTTTTCAAAACTGCTCTGTCTAAAGGAAGGTTCAACTCTGTGACTTGAATACACACAACACAAAGAAGTGACTGAGAATTCTTCTGCTAGCATTATATGAAGAAATCCCGTTTCCAACGAAGGCCTCAATGAAGTCCAAAAAAGCACTTGCAGGCTTTACAAACAGAGTGTTTCCAAACTGCTCTAAGAAAAGAAAGGTTAAACTCTGTGAGTTGAAAGCACACATCACAAAGTAGTTGTTGATAATGATTCTGTGTAGTTTTTATACGAAGATATTTCCTTTTCTGCCATAGGCCTAGAAGCGCTTGCAATCTGCACTTGCAAATTCCAAAAACAGAGTGTTTCAAATCTGCTCTCTCCAAAGGAAGGTTCAAATCTGTGAGTTGAATACAAACAACACAAAGAAGTTACTGAGAATTCTTCTGTCTAGCGTTATATGAAGAAATCCTGTTTCCAACGAAGGCCTCAAAGAGGTCCAAATATCCACTTGCAGACTTTACAAATACAGTGTTTCCAAACTGCTCTATGAAAAGAAAGGTTAAACTCCGTGAGTTGAAGGCACACATCACAAACTAGTTTCTGCGAATGACTCTGTGTACTTTTAATACGAAGATGTTTCCATGTCTAAGATTGGCGTGAATTCGCTTGAAATCTCCACTTGCAAATTCCACAAAAAGAGTGTTTCAAAACTGCTCTGAATAAAGGAAGGTTCCACTCTGTGAGTTGAATACACACAACACAAAGGATTTACTGAGAATTCTTCTGTCTAGCAGTAAATGAAAAAATCCCGCTTCCAACGAAGTCCTCAAAGGGGTCCAAGTAATCACTTGCAGACTTTACAGACAGAGTCTTTCCAAACTGCTCTATGAAAAGAAAGGTGGAACTCTGTGAGCTGAACGCACACATAACAAAGCAGTTTCTGAGAATGATTCTGTGTAGTTTTTACACGAAGATATTTCCATTTCAAAGATTAGCCTCAAATCGCTTGAAATCTCCACTTGCAAATTCCACAGAAAGAGTTTTTCAAAACTGCTCTGTGTAAAGGAAGGTTCAACTCTGTGACTTGAATACACACAACACAAAGAAGTGACTGAGAATTCTTCTGTCTAGCATTATATGAAGAAATCCCGTTTCCAACGAAGGCCTCAAAGAAGTCCAAATAAGCACCTGCAGACTTTACAAACAGAGTGTTTCCAAACTGCTCTATGAAAAGAAAGGTTAAACTCTGTGAGTTGAACGCACACATCACACAGTAGTTGTTGAGAATGATTTTGTCTAGTTTTAATACGAAGATATATCCTTTTCTATCACTGTCTTCGAAGCGTTTGAAATCTGCACTAGCAAATTCCACAAGAAGAGTGTTTCAACTCTGCTCTCTCTAAAGAAAGGTTCAACTCGGTGAGTTGAATACACACAACTCAAAGAAGTTACTGAGAATTCTTCTGTCTAGCGTTATACGAAGAAATCCCTTTTCCAACGAAGGCCTCAAAGAGGTCCAAATATCCACTTGCAGACTTTACAAATAGAGTGTTTCCGAACTGCTCTATGAAAAGAAAGGTTAAACTCTGTGAGTTGAAGGCACACATCACAAACTAGTTTCTACGAATGATTCTGTGTACTTTTAATACGAAGATGTTTCCATGTCTAAGATTGGCGTGAATTCGCTTGAAATCTCCACTTGCAAATTCCACAAAAAGAGTGTTTCAAAACTGCTCTGAATAAAGGAAGGTTCCACTCTGTGAGTTGAATACACACAACACAAAGGATTTACTGAGAATTCTTCTGTCTAGCAGTAAATGAAAAAATCCCGCTTCCAACGAAGTCCTCAAAGGGGTCCAAGTAATCACTTGCAGACTTTACAGACAGAGTCTTTCCAAACTGCTCTATGAAAAGAAAGGTGGAACTCTGTGAGCTGAACGCACACATAACAAAGCAGTTTCTGACAATGATTCTGTGTAGTTTTTACACGAAGATATTTCCATTTCAAAGAATAGCCTCAAATCGCTTGAAATCTCCAGTTGCAAATTCCACAGAAAGAGTTTTTCAAAACTGCTCTGTGTAAAGGAAGGTTCAACTCTGTGACTTGAATACACACAACACAAAGAAGTGACTGAGAATTCTTCTGTCTAGCATTATATGAAGAAATCCCGTTTCCAACGAAGGCCTCAAAGAAGTCCAAATAAGCACCTGCAGACTTTACAAACAGAGTGTTTCCAAACTGCTCTATGAAAAGAAAGGTTAAACTCTGTGAGTTGAACGCACACATCACAAAGTAGTTGTTGAGAATGATTCTGTGTAGTTTTTATACGAAGATATTTCCTTTTCTGCCATAGGCCTAGAAGCGCTTGTAATCTGCACTTGCAAATTCCAAAAACAGAGTGTTTCAAATCTGCTCTCTCTAAAGGAAGGTTCAAATCTGTGAGATGAATACAAACAACACAAAGAAGTTACTGACAATTCTTCTGTCTAGCGTTATATGAAGAAATCCCGTTTCCAACGAAGGCCTCAAAGAGGTCCAAATATCCACTTGCAGACTTTACAAATAGAGTGTTTCCCAACTGCTCTATGAAAAGAAAGGTTAAACTCTGTGAGTTGAAGGCACACATCACAAACTAGTTTCTACGAATGACTCTGTGTACTTTTAATATGAAGATATTTCCATGTCTAAGATTGGCGTCAAATCGCTTGAAATCTCCACTTGCAAATTCCACAAAAAGTGTTTTTCAAAACTGCTCTGAATAAAGGAAGGTTCCACTCTGTGAGTTGAATACACACAACACAAAGGATTTACTGAGAATTCTTCTGTCTAGCAGTAAATGAAAAAATCCCGCTTCCAACGAAGTCCTCAAAGGGGTCCAAGTAATCACTTGCAGACTTTACAGACAGAGTCTTTCCAAACTGCTCTATGAAAAGAAAGGTGGAACTCTGTGAGCTGAACGCACACATAACAAAGCAGTTTCTGAGAATGATTCTGTGTAGTTTTTACACGAAGCTATTTCCATTTCAAAGATTAGCCTCAAATCGCTTGAAATCTCCACTTGCAAATTCCACAGAAAGAGTTTTTCAAAACTGCTCTGTGTAAAGGAAGGTTCAACTCTGTGACTTGAATACACACAACACAAAGAAGTGACTGAGAATTCTTCTGTCTAGCATTATATGAGGAAATCCCGTTTCCAACGAAGGGCTCATAGAGGGACAATTATCCAGCTGCAGACTTACAAAGAGTGTATTTCCAAACTGCTCGATTAAAGAAAGGTTAAACTCTGTGAGTTGAACACACACATCACAAAGTGTTTTCTGAGAATGATTTTGTCTAGTTTTAATACGAAGATATATCCTTTTCTATCACTGTCTTCGAAGCGTTTGAAATCTGCACTAGCAAATTCCACAAACAGAGTGTTTCAACTCTGCTCTCTCTCAAGAAAGGTTCAACTCTGTGAGTGGAATACACACAACACAAAGAAGTTACTGAGAATTCTTCTGTCTAGCGTTATATGAAGAAATCCCGTTTCCAACGAAGGCCTCAAAGAGGTCCAAATATCCACTTGCAGACTTTACAAATAGAGTGTTTCCCAACTGCTCTATGAAAAGAAAGGTTAAACTCTGTGAGTTGAAGGCACACATCACAAACTAGTTTCTACGAATGACTCTGTGTACTTTTAATATGAAGATATTTCCATGTCTAAGATTGGCGTCAAATCGCTTGAAATCTCCACTTGCAAATTCCACAAAAAGAGTGTTTCAAAACTGCTCTGAATAAAGGAAGGTTCCACTCTGTGAGTTGAATACACACAACACAAAGGATTTACTGAGAATTCTTCTGTCTAGCAGTAAATGAGAAATCCCGCTTCCAACGAAGGCCTCAAAGGGGTCTAACTAATCACTTGCGGACTTTACAGACAGAGTGTTTCCAAACTGCTCTATGAAGAGAAAGGTGAAACTCTGTGAACTGAACGCACAGATGACAAAGCAGTTTCTGAGAATGATTCTGTGTAGTTTTTACACGAAGCTATTTCCATTTCAAAGATTAGCCTCAAATCGCTTGAAATCTCCACTTGCAAATTCCACAGAAAGAGTTTTTCAAAACTGCTCTGTGTAAAGGAAGGTTCAACTCTGTGACTTGAATACACACAACACAAAGAAGTGACTGAGAATTCTTCTGTCTAGCATTATATGAGGAAATCCCGTTTCCAACGAAGGGCTCATAGAGGGACAATTATCCAGCTGCAGACTTACAAAGAGTGTATTTCCAAACTGCTCGATTAAAGAAAGGTTAAACTCTGTGAGTTGAACACACACATCACAAAGTGTTTTCTGAGAATGATTTTGTCTAGTTTTAATACGAAGATATATCCTTTTCTATCACTGTCTTCGAAGCGTTTGAAATCTGCACTAGCAAATTCCACAAACAGAGTGTTTCAACTCTGCTCTCTCTCAAGAAAGGTTCAAATCTGTGAGTGGAATACACACAACACAAAGAAGTGACTGAGAATTCTTCTGTCTAGCGTTACATGAAGAAATCCCGTTTCCAACGAAGGCCTCAAAGAGGTCCAAATATCCACTTGCAGACTTTACAAATAGAGTGTTTCCAAACTGCTCTATGAAAAGAAAGGTTAAACTCTGTGAGTTGAAGGCACACATCACAAAGTAGTTTCTGCGAATGACTCTGTGTACTTTTAATATGAAGATATTTCCATGTCTAAGATTGGCGTCAAATCGCTTGAAATCTCCACTTGCAAATTCCACAAAAAGAGTGTTTCAAAACTGCTCTGAATAAAGGAAGGTTCCACTCTGTGAGTTGAATACACACAACACAAAGGATTTACTGAGAATTCTTCTGTCTAGCAGTAAATGAAAAAATCCCGCTTCCAACGAAGTCCTCAAAGGGGTCCAAGTAATCACTTGCAGACTTTACAGACAGAGTCTTTCCAAACTGCTCTATGAAGAGAAAGGTGGAACTCTGTGAGCTGAACGCACACATAACAAAGCAGTTTCTGAGAATGATTCTGTGTAGTTTTTACACGAAGCTATTTCCATTTCAAAGCTTAGCCTCAAATCGCTTGAAATCTCCACTTGCAAATTCCACAGAAAGAGTTTTTCAAAACTGCTCTGTGTAAAGGAAGGTTCAACTCTGTGACTTGAATACACACAACACAAAGAAGTGACTGAGAATTCTTCTGTCTAGCATTATATGAAGAAATCCCGTTTCCAACGAAGGCCTCAATGAAGTCCAAAAAAGCACTTGCAGGCTTTACAAACAGAGTGTTTCCAAACTGCTCTATGAAAAGAAAGGTTAAACTCTGTGAGTTGAACGCACACATCACAAAGTAGTTGTTGAGAATGACTCTGTGTAGTTTTTATACGAAGATATTTCCTTTTCTGCCATAGGCCTAGAAGCGCTTGAAATCTGCACTTGCAAATTCCAAAAACAGAGTGTTTCAACTCTGCTCTCTCTAAAGAAAGGTTCAACTGCTGTGAGTTGAATACACACAACAAAAAGAAGTTACTGAGAATTCTTCTGTCTAGCGTTATATGAAGAAATCCCGTTTCCAACGAAGGCCTCAAAGAGGTCCAAATATCCACTTGCAGACTTTACAAATAGAGTGTTTCCAAACTGCTCTATGAAAAGAAAGGTTAAACTCCGTGAGTTGAAGGCACACATCACAAACTAGTTTCTGCGAATGACTGTGTACTTTTAATACGAAGATGTTTCCATGTCTAAGATTGGCGTGAATTCGCTTGAAATCTCCACTTGCAAATTCCACAAAAAGAGTGTTTCAAAACTGCTCTGAATAAAGGAAGGTTCCACTCTGTGAGTTGAATACACACAACACAAAGGATTTACTGAGAATTCTTCTGTCTAGCAGTAAATGAAAAAATCCCGCTTCCAACGAAGTCCTCAAAGGGGTCCAAGTAATCACTTGCAGACTTTACAGACAGAGTCTTTCCAAACTGCTCTATGAAAAGAAAGGTGGAACTCTGTGAGCTGAACGCACACATAACAAAGCAGTTTCTGAGAATGATTCTGTGTAGTTTTTACACGAAGATATTTCCATTTCAAAGATTAGCCTCAAATCGCTTGAAATCTCCACTTGCAAATTCCACAGAAAGAGTTTTTCAAAACTGCTCTGTGTAAAGGAAGGTTCAACTCTGTGACTTGAATACACACAACACAAAGAAGTGACTGAGAATTCTTCTGTCTAGCATTATATGAAGAAATCCCGTTTCCAACGAAGGCCTCAATGAAGTCCAAAAAAGCACTTGCAGGCTTTACAAACAGAGTGTTTCCAAACTGCTCTATGAAAAGAAAGGTTAAACTCTGTGAGTTGAACGCACACATCACAAAGTAGTTGTTGAGAATGATTTTGTCTAGTTTTAATACGAAGATATACCCTTTTCTATCACTGTCTTCGAAGCGTTTGAAATCTGCACTAGCAAATTCCACAGAAAGAGTGTTTCAACTCTGCTCTCTCTCAAGAAAGGTTCAACTCTGTGAGTTGAATACACACAACACAAAGAAGTTACTGAGAATTCTTCTGTCTAGCGTTATATGAAGAAATCCCGTTTCCAACGAAGGCCTCAAAGAGGTCCAAATATCCACTTGCAGACTTTACAAATAGAGTGTTTCCAAACTGCTCTATGAAAAGAAAGGTTAAACTCCGTGAGTTGAAGGCACACATCACAAACTAGTTTCTGCGAATGACTCTGTGTACTTTTAATATGAAGATATTTCCATGTCTAAGATTGGCATCAAATCGCTTGAAATCTCCACTTGCAAATTCCACAAAAAGTGTTTTTCAAAAGTGCTCTGAATAAAGGAAGGTTCCACTCTGTGAGTTGAATACACACAACACAAAGGATTTACTGAGAAATCTTCTGTCTAGCAGTAAATGAAAAAATCCCGCTTCCAACGAAGTCCTCAAAGGGGTCCAAGTAATCACTTGCAGACTTTACAGACAGAGTCTTTCCAAACTGCTCTATGAAAAGAAAGGTGGAACTCTGTGAGCTGAACGCACACATAACAAAGCAGTTTCTGAGAATGATTCTGTGTAGTTTTTACACGAAGATATTTCCATTTCAAAGATTAGCCTCAAATCGCTTGAAATCTCCACTTGCAAATTCCACAGAAAAAATTTTTCAAAACTGCTCTGTCTAAAAGAAGGTTCAACTCTGTGACTTGAATACACACAACACAAAGAAGTGACTGAGAATTCTTCTGTCTAGCATTATATGAAGAAATCCCGTTTCCAACGAAGGCCTCAATGAAGTCCAAAAAAGCACTTGCAGGCTTTACAAACAGAGTGTTTCCAAACTGCTCTATGAAAAGAAAGGTTAAACTCTGTGAGTTGAACGCACACATCACAAAGTAGTTGTTGAGAATGATTCTGTGTAGTTTTTCTACGAAGATATTTCCTTTTCTGCCATAGGCCTAGAAGCGCTTGAAATCTGCACTTGCAAATTCCAAAAACAGAGTGTTTCAAATCTGCTCTCTCTAAAGGAAGGTTCAAATCTGTGAGTTGAATACAAACAACACAAAGAAGTTACTGAGAATTCTTCTGTCTAGCATTATATGAGGAAATCCCGTTTCCAACGAAGGGCTCAAAGAGGGCCAATTATCCACCTGCAGACTTACAAAGAGTGTATTTCCAAACTGCTCGATTAAAGAAAGGTTAAACTCTGTGAGTTGAACACACACATCACAAAGTGTTTTCTGAGAATGATTCTGTGTAGTTTTTATACGAAGATATTTCCTTTTCTGCCATAGGCCTAGAATCGCTTGAAATCTGCAGTTGCAAATTCCAAAAACAGAGTGTTTCAACTCTGCTCTCTCTAAAGAAAGGTTCAACTCTGTGAGTTGAATACACACAACACAAAGAAGTTACTGAGAATTCTTCTATCTAGCGTTGTATGAAGAAATCCCGTTTCCAACGAAGGCCTCAAAGAGGTCCAAATATCCACTTGCAGACTTTACAAATAGAGTGTTTCCAAACTGCTCTATGAAAAGAAAGGTTAAACTCTGTGAGTTGAAGGCACACATCACAAACTAGTTTCTACGAATGACTCTGTGTACTTTTAATATGAAGATATTTCCATGTCTAAGATTGGCGTCAAATCACTTGAAATCTCCACTTGCAAATTCCACAAAAAGTGTTTTTCAAAACTGCTCTGAATAAAGGAAGGTTCCACTCTGTGAGTTGAATACATACAACACAAAGGATTTACTGAGAATTCTTCTGTCTAGCAGTAAATGAAAAAATCCCGCTTCCAACGAAGTCCTCAAAGGGGTCCAAGTAATCACTTGCAGACTTTACAGACAGAGTCTTTCCAAACTGCTCTATGAAAAGAAAGGTGGAACTCTGTGAGCTGAACGCACACATAACAAAGCAGTTTCTGACAATGATTCTGTGTAGTTTTTACACGAAGATATTTCCATTTCAAAGATTAGCCTCAAATCGCTTGAAATCTCCACTTGCAAACTCCACAGAAAGAATTTTTCAAAACTGCTCTGTCTAAAGGAAGGTTCAACTCTGTGACTTGAATACACACAACACAAAGAAGTGACTGAGAATTCTTCTGTCTAGCATTATATGAAGAAATCCCGTTTCCAACGAAGGCCTCAATGAAGTCCAAAAAAGCACTTGCAGGCTTTACAAACAGAGTGTTTCCAAACTGCTCTATGAAAAGAAAGGTTAAACTCTGTGAGTTGAACGCACACATCACAAAGTAGTTGTTGAGAATGATTTTGTGTAGTTTTTATACGAAGATATTTCCTTTTCTGCCATAGGCCTAGAAGCGCTTGAAATCTGCACTTGCAAATTCCAAAAACAGAGTGTTTCAACTCTGCTCTCTCTAAAGAAAGGTTCAACTCTGTGAGTTGAATACACACAACACAAAGAAGTTACTGAGAATTCTTCTGTCTAGCGTTATATGAAGAAATCCCGTTTCCAACGAAGGCCTCAAAGAGGTCCAAATATCCACTTGCAGACTTTACAAATAGAGTGTTTCCAAACTGCTCTATGAAAAGAAAGGTTAAACTCCGTGAGTTGAAGGCACACATCACAAACTAGTTTCTGCGAATGACTCTGTGTACTTTTAATACGAAGATGTTTCCATGTCTAAGATTGGCGTGAATTCGCTTGAAATCTCCACTTGCAAATTCCACAAAAAGAGTGTTTCAAAACTGCTCTGAATAAAGGAAGGTTCCACTCTGTGAGTTGAATACACACAACACAAAGGATTTACTGAGAATTCTTCTGTCTAGCAGTAAATGAAAAAATCCCGCTTCCAACGAAGTCCTCCAAGGGGTCCAAGTAATCACTTGCAGACTTCACAGACAGAGTCTTTCCAAACTGCCCTATGAAAAGAAAGGTGGAACTCTGTGAGCTGAACGCACACATAACAAAGCAGTTTCTGAGAATGATTCTGTGTAGTTTTTACATGAAGATATTTCCATTTCAAAGATTAGCCTCAAATCGCTTGAAATCTCCACTTGCAAATTCCACAGAAAGAGTTTTTCAAAACTGCTCTGTGTAAAGGAAGGTTCAACTCTGCGACTTGAATACACACAACACAAAGAAGTGACTGAGAAATCTTCTGTCTAGCATTATATGAAGAAATCCCGTTTCCAACGAAGGCCTCAAAGAAGTCCAAATAAGCACCTGCAGACTTTACAAACAGAGTGTTTCCAAACTGCTCTATGAAAAGAAAGGTTAAACTCTGTGAGTTGAACGCACACATCACAAACTAGTTTCTGCGAATGACTCTGTGTAGTTTTTATACGAAGATATTTCCTTTTCTGCCATAGGCCTAGAAGCGCTTGAAATCTGCACTTGCAAATTCCAAAAACAGAGTGTTTCAAATCTGCTCTCTCTAAAGGAAGGTTCAAATCTGTGTGTTGAATACAAACAACACAAAGAAGTTACTGAGAATTCTTCTGTCTAGCGTTGTATGAAGAAATCCCGTTTCCAACGAAGGCCTCAAAGATGTCCAAATATCCACTTGCGGACTTTACAAATAGAGTGTTTCCAAACTGCTCGATTAAAGAAAGGTTAAACTCTGTGAGTTGAACACACACATCACAAAGTGTTTTCTGAGAATGATTTTGTCTAATTTTAATATGAAGATATATCCTTTTCTATCACTGTCTTCGAAGCGTTTGAAATCTGCACTAGCAAATTCCACAAAAAGAGTGTTTCAACTCTGCTCTCTCTAAAGAAAGGTTCAACTCTGTGAGTTGAATACACACAACACAAAGAAGTTACTGAAAATTCTTCTGTCTAGCGTTATATGAAGAAATCCCGTTTCCAACGAAGACCTCAAAGAGGTCCAAATATCCACTTGCAGACTTTACAAATAGAGTGTTTCCGAACTGCTCTATGAAAAGAAAGGTTAAACTCTGTGAGTTGAAGGCACACATCACAACCTAGTTTCTACGAATGACTCTGTGTACTTTTAATATGAAGATATTTCCATGTCTAAGATTGGCGTCAAATCGCTTGAAATCTCCACTTGCAAATTCCACAAAAAGAGTGTTTCAAAACTGCTCTGAATAAAGGAAGGTTCCACTCTGTGAGTTGAATACACACAACACAAAGGATTTACTGAGAATTCTTCTGTCTAGCAGTAAATGAGAAATCCCGCTTCCAACGAAGGCCTCAAAGGGGTCTAACTAATCACTTGCAGACTTTACAGACAGAGTCTTTCCAAACTGCTCTATGAAGAGAAAGGTGAAACTCTGTGAACTGAACGCACAGATAACAAAGCAGTTTCTGAGAATGATTCTGTGTAGTTTTTACATGAAGATATTTCCATTTCAAAGATTAGCCTCAAATCGCTTGAAATCTCCACTTGCAAATTCCACAGAAAGAGTTTTTCAAAACTGCTCTGTGTAAAGGAAGGTTCAACTCTGCGACTTGAATACACACAACACAAAGAAGTGACTGAGAATTCTTCTGTCTAGCATTATATGAAGAAATCCCGTTTCCAACGAAGGCCTCAAAAAGTCCAAATAAGCACCTGCAGACTTTACAAACAGGGTGTTTCCAAACTGCTCTATGAAAAGAAAGGTTAAACTCTGTGAGATGAACGCACACATCACAAAGTAGTTGTTGAGAATGATTCTGTGTAGTTTTTATACGAAGATATTTCCTTTTCTGCCATAGGCCTAGAAGCGCTTGAAATCTGCACTTGCAAATTCCAAAAACAGAGTGTTTCAAATCTGCTCTCTCTAAAGGAAGGTTCAAATCTGTGTGTTGAATACATACAACACAAAGAAGTTACTGAGAATTCTTCTGTCTAGCGTTATATGAAGAAATCCCGTTTCCAACGAAGGCCTCAAAGAGGTCCAAATATCCACTTGCAGACTTTACAAATAGAGTGTTTCCAAACTGCTCTATGAAAAGAAAGGTTAAACTCCGTGAGTTGAAGGCACACATCACAAACTAGTTTCTGCGAATGACTCTGTGTACTTTTAATACGAAGATGTTTCCATGTCTAAGATTGGCGTGAATTCGCTTGAAATCTCCACTTGCAAATTCCACAAAAAGAGTGTTTCAAAACTGCTCTGAATAAAGGAAGGTTCCACTCTGTGAGTTGAATACACACAACACAAAGGATTTACTGAGAATTCTTCTGTCTAGCAGTAAATGAAAAAATCCCGCTTCCAACGAAGTCCTCAAAGGGGTCCAAGTAATCACTTGCAGACTTTACAGACAGAGTCTTTCCAAACTGCTCTATGAAAAGAAAGGTGGAACTCTGTGAGCTGAACGCACACATAACAAAGCAGTTTCTGAGAATGATTCTGTGTAGTTTTTACACGAAGATATTTCCATTTCAAAGATTAGCCTCAAATCGCTTGAAATCTCCACTTGCAAACTCCACAGAAAGAATTTTTCAAAACTGCTCTGTCTAAAGGAAGGTTCAACTCTGTGACTTGAATACACACAACACAAAGAAGTGACTGAGAATTCTTCTGTCTAGCATTATATGAAGAAATCCCGTTTCCAACGAAGGCCTCAATGAAGTCCAAAAAAGCACTTGCAGGCTTTACAAACAGAGTGTTTCCAAACTGCTCTATGAAAAGAAAGGTTAAACTCTGTGAGTTGAACGCACACATCACAAAGTAGTTGTTGAGAATGATTCTGTGTAGTTTTTATACGAAGATATTTCCTTTTCTGCCATAGGCCTAGAAGCGCTTGAAATCTGCACTTGCAAATTCCAAAAACAGAGTGTTTCAAATCTGCTCTCTCTAAAGGAAGGTTCAAATCTGTGTGTTGAATACAAACAACACAAAGAAGTTACTGAGAATTCTTCTGTCTAGCGTTTTATGAAGAAATCCCGTTTCCAACGAAGGCCTCAAAGAGGTCCAAATATCCACTTGCAGACGTTACAAACAGAGTGTTTCCAAACTGCTCTATGAAAAGAAAAGTTAAACTCTGTGAGTTGAAGGCACACATCACAAACTAGTTTCTGCGAATGACTCTGTGTACTTTTAATATGAAGATTTTTCCATGTCTAAGATTGGCGTCAAATCGCTTGAAATCTCCACTTGCAAATTCCACAAAAAGTGTTTTTCAAAACTGCTCTGAATAAAGGAAGGTTCCACTCTGTGAGTTGAATACACACAACACAAAGGATTTACTGAGAATTCTTCTGTCTAGCAGTAAATGAGAAATCCCGCTTCCAACGAAGGCCTCAAAGGGGTCTAACTAATCACTTGCAGACTTTACAGACAGAGTCTTTCCAAACTGCTCTATGAAGAGAAAGGTGAAACTCTGTGAACTGAACACACAGATAACAAAGCAGTTTCTGAGAATGATTCTGTGTAGTTTTTACACGAAGCTATTTCCATTTCAAAGATTAGCCTCAAATCGCTTGAAATCTCCACTTGCAAATTCCACAGAAAGAGTTTTTCAAAACTGCTCTGTGTAAAGGAAGGTTCAACTCTGTGACTTGAATACACACAACACAAAGAAGTGACTGAGAATTCTTCTGTCTAGCATTATATGAAGAAATCCCGTTTCCAAAGAAGGCCTCAATGAAGTCCAAAAAAGCACTTGCAGGCTTTACAAACAGAGTGTTTCCAAACTGCTCTATGAAAAGAAAGGTTAAACTCTGTGAGTTGAACGCACACATCACAAAGTAGTTGTTGAGAATGATTTTGTCTAGTTTTAATACGAAGATATATCCTTTTCTATCACTGTCTTCGAAGCGTTTGAAATCTGCACTAGCAAATTCCACAAACAGAGTGTTTCAACTCTGCTCTCTCTCAAGAAAGGTTCAACTCTGTGAGTTGAATACACACAACACAAAGAAGTTACTGAGAATTCTTCTGTCTAGCGTTGTATGAAGAAATCCCTTTTCGAACGAAGGCCTCAAAGAGGTCCAAATATCCACTTGCAGACTTTACAAATAGAGTGTTTCCAAACTACTCTATGAAAAGAAAGGTTAAACTCTGTGAGTTGAAGGCACACATCACAAACTAGTTTCTACGAATGACTCTGTGTACTTTTAATATGAAGATATTTCCATGTCTAAGATTGGCGTCAAATCGCTTGAAATCTCCACTTCCAAATTCCACAAAAAGTGTTTTTCAAAACTGCTCTGAATAAAGGAAGGTTCAACTCTGTGACTTGAATAAACACAACACAAAGAAGTGACTGTGAATTCTTCTGTCTAGCATTATATGAAGAAATCCCGTTTCCAACGAAGGCCTCAAAGAAGTCCAAATAAGCACCTGCAGACTTTACAAACAGAGTGTTTCCAAACTGCTCTATGAAAAGAAAGGTTAAACTGTGTGAGTTGAAGGCACTCATCACAAAGTAGTTGTTGAGAATGATTCTGTGTAGTTTTTACACGAAGATATTTCCATTTCAAAGATTAGCCTCAAATCGCTTGAAATCTCCACTTGCAAATTCCGCAGAAAGAGTTTTTCAAAACTGCTCTGTGTAAAGGAAGGTTCAACTCTGTGACTTGAATACACACAACACACAGAAGTGACTGAGAATTCTTCTGTCTAGCATTATATGAGGAAATCCCGTTTCCAACGAAGGGCTCATAGAGGGACAATTATCCACCTGCAGACTTACAAAGAGTGTATTTCCAAACTGCTCGATTACAGAAAGGTTAAACTCTGTGAGTTGAACACACACATCACAAAGTGTTTTCTGAGAATGATTCTGTGTAGTTTTTATACGAAGATATTTCCTTTTCTGCCATAGGCCAAGAATCGCTTGAAATCTGCAGTTGCAAATTCCACAAAAAGAGTGTCTCACCTCTGCTCCCTCTAAAGAAAGGTTCAACTCTGTGAGTTGAATACACACAACACAAAGAAGTTACTGAGAATTCTTCTGTCTAGCGTTATATGAAGAAATCCCGTTTCCAACGAAGGCCTCAAAGAGGTCCAAATATCCACTTGCAGACTTTACAAATAGAGTGTTTCCAAACTGCTCTATGAAAAGAAAGGTTAAACTCCGTGAGTTGAAGGCACACATCACAAACTAGTTTCTGCGAATGACACTGTGTACTTTTAATATGAAGATATTTCCATGTCTAAGATTGGCGTCAAATCGCTTGAAATCTCCACTTGCAAATTCCACAAAAAGTGTTTTTCGAAACTGCTCTGAATAAAGGAAGGTTCCACTCTGTGAGTTGAATACACACAACACAAAGGATTTACTGAGAATTCTTCTGTCTAGCAGTAAATGAGAAATCCCGCTTCCAACGAAGGCCTCAAAGGGGTCTAACTAATCACTTGCGGACTTTACAGACAGAGTCTTTCCAAACTGCTCTATGAAGAGAAAGGTGAAACTCTGTGAACTGAACGCACAGATAACAAAGCAGTTTCTGAGAATGATTCTGTGTAGTTTTTACACGAAGATATTTCCATTTCAAAGATTAGCCTCAAATCGCTTGAAATCTCCACTTGCAAATTCCACAGAAAGAGTTTTTCAAAACTGCTCTGTGTAAAGGAAGGTTCAACTCTGTGACTTGAATACACACAACACAAAGAAGTGACTGAGAATTCTTCTGTCTAGCATTATAAGAGGAAATCCCGTTTCCAACGAAGGGCTCATAGAGGGACAATTATCCAGCTGCAGACTTACAAAGAGTGTATTTCCAAACTGCTCGATTAAAGAAAGGTTAAACTCTGTGAGTTGAACACACACATCACAAAGTGTTTTCTGAGAATGATTCTGTGTAGTTTTTATACGAAGATATTTCCTTTTCTGCCATAGGCCTAGAAGCGCATGAAATCTGCACTTGCAAATTCCAAAAACAGAGTGTTTCAAATCTGCTCTCTCTAAAGGAAGGTTCAAATCTGTGTGTTGAATACAAACAACACAAAGAAGTTACTGAGAATTCTTCTGTCTAGCGTTATATGAAGAAATCCCGTTTCCAACGAAGGCCTCAAAGAGGTCCAAATATCCACTTGCAGACTTTACAAATAGAGTGTTTCCAAACTGCTCTATGAAAAGAAAGGTTAAACTCCGTGAGTTGAAGGCACACATCACAAACTAGTTTCTGCGAATGACTCTGTGTACTTTTAATATGAAGATATTTCCATGTCTAAGATTGGCGTCAAATCGCTTGAAATCTCCACTTGCAAATTCCACAAAAATTGTTTTTCAAAACTGCTCTGAATAAAGGAAGGTTCCACTCTGTGAGTTGAATACACGCAACACAAAGGATTTACTGAGAATTCTTCTGTCTAGCAGTAAATGAGAAATCCCGCTTCCAACGAAGGCCTCAAAGGGGTCTAACTAATCACTTGCAGACTTTACAGACAGAGTCTTTCCAAACTGCTCTATGAAGAGAAAGGTGAAACTCTGTGAACTGAACGCACAGATGACAAAGCAGTTTCTGAGAATGATTCTGTGTAGTTTTTACACGAAGATATTTCCATTTCAAAGATTAGCCTCAAATCGCTTGAAATCTCCACTTGCAAATTCCACAGAAAGAGTTTTTCAAAACTGCTCTGTGTAAAGGAAGGTTCAACTCTGTGACTTGAATACACACAACACAAAGAAGTGACTGAGAATTCTTCTGTCTAGCATTATAAGAGGAAATCCCGTTTCCAACGAAGGGCTCATAGAGGGACAATTATCCAGCTGCAGACTTACAAAGAGTGTATTTCCAAACTGCTCGATTAAAGAAAGGTTAAACTCTGTGAGTTGAACGCACACATCACAAAGTGTTTTCTGAGAATGATTTTGTCTAGTTTTAATACGAAGATATATCCTTTTCTATCACTGTCTTCGAAGCGTTTGAAATCTGCACTAGCAAATTCCACAAACAGAGTGTTTCAACTCTGCTCTCTCTCAAGAAAGGTTCAACTCTGTGAGTGGAATACACACAACACAAAGAAGTTACTGAGAATTCTTCTGTCTAGCGTTATATGAAGAAATCCCGTTTCCAACGAAGGCCTCAAAGAGGTCCAAATATCCACTTGCAGACTTTACAAATAGAGTGTTTCCAAACTGCTCTATGAAAAGAAAGGTTAAACTCTGTGAGTTGAAGGCACACATCACAAACTAGTTTCTGCGAATGACTCTGTGTACTTTTAATACGAAGATGTTTCCATGTCTAAGATTGGCGGTGAATTCGCTTGAAATCTCCACTTGCAAATTCCACAAAAAGAGTGTTTCAAAACTGCTCTGAATAAAGGAAGGTTCCACTCTGTGAGTTGAATACACACAACACAAAGGATTTACTGAGAATTCTTCTCTCTAGCAGTAAATGAAAAAATCCCGCTTCCAACGAAGTCCTCAAAGGGGTCCAAGTAATCACTTGCAGACTTCACAGACAGAGTCTTTCCAAACTGCCCTATGAAAAGAAAGGTGGAACTCTGTGAGCTGAACGCACACATAACAAAGCAGTTTCTGACAATGATTCTGTGTAGTTTTTACATGAAGATATTTCCATTTCAAAGATTAGCCTCAAATCGCTTGAAATCTCCACTTGCAAATTCCACAGAAAGAGTTTTTCAAAACTGCTCTGTGTAAAGGAAGGTTCAACTCTGCGACTTGAATACACACAACAAAAAGAAGTGACTGAGAATTCTTCTGTCTAGCGTTATATGAAGAAATCCCGTTTCCAACGAAGGCCTCAATGAAGTCCAAAAAAGCACTTGCAGGCTTTACAAACAGAGTGTTTCCAAACTGCTCTATGAAAAGAAAGGTTAAACTCTGTGAGTTGAACGCACACATCACAAAGTAGTTGTTCAGAATGATTCTGTGTAGTTTTTATACGAAGATAATTCCTTTTCTGCCATAGGCCTAGAATCGCTTGAAATCTCCCCTTGCAAATTCCAAAAACAGAGTGTTTCAGCTCTGCTCTCTCTAAAGAAAGGTTCAACTCTGTGAGTTGAATACACACAACACAAAGAAGTTAGTGAGAATTCTTCTGTCTAGCGTTATATGAAGAAATCCCGTTTCCAACGAAGGCCTCAAAGAGGTCCAAATATCCACTTGCAGACTTTACAAATAGAGTGTTTCCAAACTGCTCTATGAAAAGAAAGGTTAAACTCTGTGAGTTGAAGGCACACATCACAAACTAGTTTCTGCGAATGACTCTGTGTACTTTTAATACGAAGATGTTTCCATGTCTAAGATTGGCGTGAATTCGCTTGAAATCTCCACTTGCAAATTCCACAAAAAGAGTGTTTCAAAACTGCTCTGAATAAAGGAAGGTTCCACTCTGTGAGTTGAATACACACAACACGAAGGATTTACTGAGAATTCTTCTGTCTAGCAGTAAATGAAAAAATCCCGCTTCCAACGAAGTCCTCAAAGGGGTCCAAGTAATCACTTGCAGACTTTACAGACAGAGTCTTTCCAAACTGCTCTATGAAAAGAAAGGTGGAACTCTGTGAGCTGAACGCACACATAACAAAGCAGTTTCTGACAATGATTCTGTGTAGTTTTTACACGAAGATATTTCCATTTCAAAGATTAGCCTCAAATCGCTTGAAATCTCCAGTTGCAAATTCCACAGAAAGAGTTTTTCAAAACTGCTCTGTGTAAAGGAAGGTTCAACTCTGTGACTTGAATACACACAACACAAAGAAGTGACTGAGAATTCTTCTGTCTAGCATTATATGAAGAAATCCCGTTTCCAACGAAGGCCTCAAAGAAGTCCAAATAAGCACCTGCAGACTTTACAAACAGAGTGTTTCCAAACTGCTCTATGAAAAGAAAGGTTAAACTCTGTGAGTTGAACGCACACATCACAAAGTAGTTGTTGAGAATGATTCTGTGTAGTTTTTATACGAAGATATTTAATTTTCTGCCATAGGCCTAGAAGCGCTTGCAATCTGCACTTGCAAATTCCAAAAACAGAGTGTTTCAAATCTGCTCTCTCTAAAGGAAGGTTCAAATCTGTGAGTTGAATACAAACAACACAAAGAAGTTACTGAGAATTCTTCTGTCTAGCATTATAAGAGGAAATCCCGTTTCCAACGAAGGGCTCATAGAGGGACAATTATCCAGCTGCAGACTTACAAAGAGTGTATTTCCAAACTGCTCGATTAAAGAAAGGTTAAACTACTGTGAGTTGAACACACACATCACAAAGTGTTTTCTGAGAATGATTTTGTCTAGTTTTAATACGAAGATATATCCTTTTCTATCACTGTCTTCGAAGCGTTTGAAATCTGCACTAGCAAATTCCACAAACAGAGTGTTTCAACTCTGCTCTCTCTCAAGAAAGGTTCAACTCTGTGAGTGGAATACACACAACACAAAGAAGTTACTGAGAATTCTTCTGTCTAGCGTTATATGAAGAAATCCCGTTTCCAACGAAGGCCTCAAAGAGGTCCAAATATCCACTTGCAGACTTTACAAATAGAGTGTTTCCCAACTGCTCTATGAAAAGAAAGGTTAAACTCTGTGAGTTGAAGGCACACATCACAAACTAGTTTCTACGAATGACTCTGTGTACTTTTAATATGAAGATATTTCCATGTCTAAGATTGGCGTCAAATCGCTTGAAATCTCCACTTGCAAATTCCACAAAAAGTGTTTTTCAAAACTGCTCTGAATAAAGGAAGGTTCCACTCTGTGAGTTGAATACACACAACACAAAGGATTTACTGAGAATTCTTCTGTCTAGCAGTAAATGAAAAAATCCCGCTTCCAACGAAGTCCTCAAAGGGGTCCAAGTAATCACTTGCAGACTTTACAGACAGAGTCTTTCCAAACTGCTCTATGAAAAGAAAGGTGGAACTCTGTGAGCTGAACGCACACATAACAAAGCAGTTTCTGAGAATGATTCTGTGTAGTTTTTACACGAAGCTATTTCCATTTCAAAGATTAGCCTCAAATCGCTTGAAATCTCCACTTGCAAATTCCACAGAAAGAGTTTTTCAAAACTGCTCTGTGTAAAGGAAGGTTCAACTCTGTGACTTGAATACACACAACACAAAGAAGTGACTGAGAATTCTTCTGTCTATCACTATATGAGGAAATCCCGTTTCCAATGAAGGGCTCAAAGAGGGCCAATTACCCACTTGCAGACTTTACAAAGAGTGTATTTCCAAACTGCTCGATTAAAGAAAGGTTAAGCTCTGTGAGTTGAACACACACATCACAAAGTGTTTTCTGAGAATGATTCTGTGTAGTTTTTATACGAAGATATTTCCTTTTCTGCCATAGGCCTAGAAGCGCTTGAAATCTGCACTTGCAAATGCCAAAAACAGGGTGTTTCAAATCTGCTCTCTTTAAAGGAAGGTTCAAATCTGTGAGTTGAATACAAACAACACAAAGAAGTTACTGAGAATTCTTCTGTCTAGCGTTATATGAAGAAATCCCGTTTCCAACGAAGGCCTCAAAGAGGTCCAAATATCCACTTGCAGACTTTACAAATAGAGTGTTTCCAAACTGCTCTATGAAAAGAAAGGTTAAACTCTGTGAGTTGAAGGCACACATCACAAACTAGTTTCTGCGAATGACTCTGTGTACTTTTAATACGAAGATGTTTCCATGTCTAAGATTGGCGTGAATTCGCTTGAAATCTCCACTTGCAAATTCCACAAAAAGAGTGTTTCAAAACTGCTCTGAATAAAGGAAGGTTCCACTCTGTGAGTTGAATACACACAACACAAAGGATTTACTGAGAATTCTTCTGTCTAGCAGTAAATGAAAAAATCCCGCTTCCAACGAAGTCCTCAAAGGGGTCCAAGTAATCACTTGCAGACTTTACAGACAGAGTCTTTCCAAACTGCTCTATGAAAAGAAAGGTGGAACTCTGTGAGCTGAACGCACACATAACAAAGCAGTTTCTGACAATGATTCTGTGTAGTTTTTACACGAAGATATTTCCATTTCAAAGATTAGCCTCAAATCGCTTGAAATCTCCACTTGCAAATTCCACAGAAAGAGTTTTTCAAAACTGCTCTGTGTAAAGGAAGGTTCAACTCTGTGACTTGAATACACACAACACAAAGAAGTGACTGAGAATTCTTCTGTCTAGCATTATATGAAGAAATCCCGTTTCTAACGAAGGCCTCAAAGAAGTCCAAATAAGCACCTGCAGACTTTACAAACAGAGTGTTTCCAAACTGCTCTATGAAAAGAAAGGTTAAACTCTGTGAGTTGAACGCACACATCACAAAGTAGTTGTTGAGAATGATTTTGTCTAGTTTTAATACGAAGATATATCCTTTTCTATCACTGTCTTCGAAGCGTTTGAAATCTGCACTAGCAAATTCCACAGAAAGAGTGTTTCAACTCTGCTCTCTCTCAAGAAAGGTTCAACTCTGTGAGTGGAATACACACAACACAAAGAAGTTACTGAGAATTCTTCTGTCTAGCGTTATATGAAGAAATCCCGTTTCCAACGAAGGCCTCAAAGAGGTCCAAATATCCACTTGCAGACTTTACAAATAGAGTGTTTCCAAACTGCTCTATGAAAAGAAAGGTTAAACTCCGTGAGTTGAAGGCACGCATCACAAACTAGTTTCTGCGAATGACTCTGTGTACTTTTAATATGAAGATATTTCCATGTCTAAGATTGGCGTCAAATCGCTTGAAATCTCCACTTGCAAATTCCACAAAAAGAGTGTTTCAAAACTGCTCTGAATAAAGGAAGGTTCCACTCTGTGAGTTGAATACACACAACACAAAGGATTTACTGAGAATTCTTCTGTCTAGCAGTAAATGAGAAATCCCGCTTCCAACGAAGGCCTCAAAGGGGTCTAACTAATCACTTGCAGACTTTACAGACAGAGTCTTTCCAAACTGCTCTATGAAGAGAAAGGTGAAACTCTGTGAACTGAACGCACAGATAACAAAGCAGTTTCTGAGAATGATTCTGTGTAGTTTTTATACGAAGATATTTCCATTTCAAAGATTAGCCTCAAATCGCTTGAAATCTCCACTTGCAAATTCCACAGAAAGAATTTTCCAAAACTGCTCTGTCTAAAGGAAGGTTCAACTCTGTGACTTCAATACAAACAACACAAAGAAGTGACTGAGAATTCTTCTGTCTAGCATTATATGAAGAAATCCCGTTTCCAACGAAGGCCTCAATGAAGTCCAAAAAAGCACTTGCAGGCTTTACAAACAGAGTGTTTCCAAACTGCTCTATGAAAAGAAAGGTTAAACTCTGTGAGTTGAACGCACACATCACAAAGTAGTTGTTGAGAATGATTCTGTGTAGTTTTTATACGAAGATATTTCCTTTTCTGCCATAGGCCTAGAATCGCTTGAAATCTGCAGTTGCAAATTCCAAAAACAGAGTGTTTCAACTCTGCTCTCTCTAAAGAAAGGTTCAACTCTGTGAGTTGAATACACACAACACAAAGAAGTTACTGAGAATTCTTCTGTCTAGCGTTGTATGAAGAAATCCCGTTTCCAACGAAGGCCTCAAAGAGGTCCAAATATCCACTTGCAGACTTTACAAATAGAGTGTTTCCAAACTGCTCTATGAAAAGAAAGGTTAAACTCTGTGAGTTGAAGGCACACATCACAAACTAGTTTCTACGAATGACTCTGTGTACTTTTAATATGAAGATATTTCCCATGTCTAAGATTGGCATCAAATCGCTTGAAATCTCCACTTGCAAATTCCACAAAAAGTGTTTTTCAAAACTGCTCTGAATAAAGGAAGGTTCCACTCTGTGAGTTGAATACACACAACACAAAGGATTTACTGAGAATTCTTCTGTCTAGCAGTAAATGAAAAAATCCCGCTTCCAACGAAGTCCTCAAAGGGGTCCAAGTAATCACTTGCAGACTTTACAGACAGAGTCTTTCCAAACTGCTCTATGAAAAGAAAGGTGGAACTCTGTGAGCTGAACGCACACATAACAAAGCAGTTTCTGAGAATGATTCTGTATAGTTTTTACACGAAGATATTTCCATTTCAAAGATTAGCCTCAAATCGCTTGAAATCTCCACTTGCAAATTCCACAGAAAGAGTTTTTCAAAACTGCTCTGTGTAAAGGAAGGTTCAACTCTGTGACTTGAATACACACAACACAAAGAAGTGACTGAGAATTCTTCTGTCTAGCATTATATGAAGAAATCCCGTTTCCAACGAAGGCCTCAAAGAAGTCCAAATAAGCACCTGCAGACTTTACAAACAGAGTGTTTCCAAACTGCTCTATGAAAAGAAAGGTTAAACTCTGTGAGTTGAACGCACACATCACAAAGTAGTTGTTGAGAATGATTCTGTGTAGTTTTTATATGAAGATATTTCCTTTTCTGCCATAGGCCTAGAAGCGCTTGAAATCTGCACTTGCAAATTCCAAAAACAGAGTGTTTCAAATCTGCTCTCTCTAAAGGAAGGTTCAAATCTGTGAGTTGAATACAAACAACACAAAGAAGTTACTGAGAATTCTTCTGTCTAGCATTATATGAGGAAATCCCGTTTCCAACGAAGGGCTCAAAGAGGGCCAATAATCCACCTGCAGACTTACAAAGAGTGTATTTCCAAACTGCTCGATTAAAGAAAGGTTAAACTCTGTGAGTTGAACACACACATCACAAAGTGTTTTCTGAGAATGATTTTGTCTAGTTTTAATACGAAGATATATCCTTTGCTATCACTGTCTTCGAAGCGTTTGAAATCTGCACTGGCAAATTCCACAAAAAGAGTGTTTCAACCCTGCTCTCTCTAAAGAAAAGTTGAACTCTGTGAGTTGAATACACACAACACAAAGAAGTTACTGAAAATTCTTCTGTCTAGCGTTATATGAAGAAATCCCTTTTCCAACGATGGCCTCAAAGAGGTCCAAATATCCACTTGCAGACTTTACAAATAGAGTGTTTCCGAACTGCTCTATGAAAAGAAAGGTTAAACTCTGTGAGTTGAAGGCACACATCACAAACTAGTTTCTACGAATGATTCTGTGTACTTTTAATACGAAGATGTTTCCATGTCTAAGATTGGCGTGAATTCGCTTGAAATCTCCACTTGCAAATTCCACAAAAAGAGTGTTTCAAAACTGCTCTGAATAAAGGAAGGTTCCACTCTGTGAGTTGAATACACACAACACAAAGGATTTACTGAGAATTCTTCTGTCTAGCAGTAAATGAAAAAATCCCGCTTCCAACGAAGTCCTCAAAGGGGTCCAAGTAATCACTTGCAGACTTTACAGACAGAGTCTTTCCAAACTGCTCTATGAAAAGAAAGGTGGAACTCTGTGAGCTGAACGCACACATAACAAAGCAGTTTCTGAGAATGATTCTGTGTAGTTTTTACACGAAGCTATTTCCATTTCAAAGATTAGCCTCAAATCGCTTGAAATCTCCACTTGCAAATTCCACAGAAAGAGTTTTTCAAAACTGCTCTGTGTAAAGGAAAGTTCAACTCTGTGACTTGAATACACACAACACAAAGAAGTGACTGAGAATTCTTCTGTCTAGCATTATAAGAGGAAATCCCGTTTCCAACGAAGGGCTCATAGAGGGACAATTATCCAGCTGCAGACTTACAAAGAGTGTATTTCCAAACTGCTCGATTAAAGAAAGGTTAAACTCTGTGAGTTGAACACACACATCACAAAGTGTTTTCTGAGAATGATTTTGTCTAGTTTTAATACGAAGATATATCCTTTTCTATCACTGTCTTCGAAGCGTTTGAAATCTGCACTAGCAAATTCCACAAACAGAGTGTTTCAACTCTGCTCTCTCTCAAGAAAGGTTCAACTCTGTGAGTTGAATACACACAACACAAAGAAGTTACTGAGAATTCTTCTGTCTAGCGTTATATGAAGAAATCCCGTTTCCAACGAAGGCCTCAAAGTGGTCCAAATATCCACTTGCAGACTTTACAAATAGAGTGTTTCCAAACTGCTCTATGAAAAGAAAGGTTAAACTCTGTGAGTTGAAGGCACACATCACAAACTAGTTTCTGCGAATGACTCTGTGTACTTTTAATACGAAGATGTTTCCATGTCTAAGATTGGCGTGAATTCGCTTGAAATCTCCACTTGCAAATTCCACAAAAAGAGTGTTTCAAAACTGCTCTGAATAAAGGAAGGTTCCACTCTGTGAGTTGAATACACACAACACAAAGGATTTACTGAGAATTCTTCTGTCTAGCAGTAAATGAAAAAATCCCGCTTCCAACGAAGTCCTCAAAGGGGTCCAAGTAATCACTTGCAGACTTTACAGACAGTGTCTTTCCAAACTGCTCTATGAAAAGAAAGGTGAAACTCTGTGAGCTGAACGCACACATAACAAAGCAGTTTCTGAGAATGATTCTGTGTAGTTTTTACACGAAGATATTTCCATTTCAAAGATTAGCCTCAAATCGCTTGAAATCTCCACTTGCAAACTCCACAGAAAGAATTTTTCAAAACTGCTCTGTCTAAAGGAAGGTTCAACTCTGTGACTTGAATACACACAACACAAAGAAGTGACTGAGAATTCTTCTGTCTAGCATTATATGAGGAAATCCCGTTTCCAACGAAGGGCTCAAAGAGGGCCAAATATCCACCTGCAGACTTACAAAGAGTGTATTTCCAAACTGCTCGATTAAAGAAAGGTTAAACTCTGTGAGTTGAACACACACATCACAAAGAGTTTTCTGAGAATGATTCTGTGTAGTTTTTATACGAAGATATTTCCTTTTCTGCCATAGGCCTAGAAGCGCTTGTAATCTGCACTTGCAAATTCCAAAAACAGAGTGTTTCAAATCTGCTCTCTCTAAAGGAAGGTTCAAATCTGTGAGTTGAATACAAACAACACAAAGAAGTTACTGAGAATTCTTCTGTCTAGCGTTATATGAAGAAATCCCGTTTCCAACGAAGGCCTCAAAGAGGTCCAAATATCCACTTGCAGACTTTACAAAGAGAGTGTTTCCAAACTGCTCTATGAAAAGAAAGGTTAAACTCCGTGAGTTGAAGGCACACATCACAAACTAGTTTCTGCGAATGACTCTGTGTACTTTCAATACGAAGATGTTTCCATGTCTAAGATTGGCGTGAATTCGCTTGAAATGTCCACTTGCAATTTCCACAAAAAGAGTGTTTCAAAAGTGCTCTGAATAAAGGAAGGTTCCACTCTGTGAGTTGAATACACACAACACAAAGGATTTACTGAGAATTCTTCTGTCTAGCAGTAAATGAAAAAATCCCGCTTCCAACGAAGTCCTCAAAGGGGTCCAAGTAATCACTTGCAGACTTTACAGACAGAGTCTTTCCAAACTGCTCTATGAAAAGAAAGGTGGAACTCTGTGAGCTGAACGCACACATAACAAAGCAGTTTCTGACAATGATTCTGTGTAGTTTTTACACGAAGATATTTCCATTTCAAAGATTAGCCTCAAATCGCTTGAAATCTCCACTTGCAAATTCCACAGAAAGAGTTTTTCAAAACTGCTCTGTGTAAAGGAAGGTTCAACTCTGTGACTTGAATACACACAACACAAAGAAGTGACTGAGAATTCTTCTGTCTAGCATTATATGAAGAAATCCCGTTTCCAACGAAGGCCTCAAAGAAGTCCAAATAAGCACCTGCAGACTTTACAAACAGAGTGTTTCCAAACTGCTCTATGAAAAGAAAGGTTAAACTCTGTGAGTTGAACGCACACATCACAAAGTAGTTGTTGAGAATGATTTTGTCTAGTTTTAATACGAAGATATATCCTTTGCTATCACTGTCTTCGAAGCGTTTGAAATCTGCTCTAGCAAATTCCACAAAAAGAGTGTTTCAACTCTGCTCTCTCTAAAGAAAAGTTGAACTCTGTGAGTTGAATACACACAACACAAAGAAGTTACTGAAAATTCTTCTGTCTAGCGTTATATGAAGAAATCCCGTTTCCAACGAAGGCCTCAAAGAGGTCCAAATATCCACTTGCAGACTTTACAAATAGAGTGTTTCCAAACTGCTCTATGAAAAGAAAGGTTAAACTCCGTGAGTTGAAGGCACACATCACAAACTAGTTTCTGCGAATGACTCTGTGTACTTTTAATACGAAGATGTTTCCATGTCTAAGATTGGCGTGAATTCGCTTGAAATCTCCACTTGCAAATTCCACAAAAAGAGTGTTTCAAAACTGCTCTGAATAAAGGAAGGTTCCACTCTGAGAGTTGAATACACACAACACAAAGGATTTACTGAGAATTCTTCTGTATAGCAGTAAATGAAAAAATCCCGCTTCCAACGAAGTCCTCAAAGGGGTCCAAGTAATCACTTGCAGACTTTACAGACAGAGTCTTTCCAAACTGCTCTATGAAAAGAAAGGTGGAACTCTGTGAGCTGAACGCACACATAACAAAGCAGTTTCTGAGAATGATTCTGTGTAGTTTTTACACGAAGATATTTCCATTTCAAAGATTAGCCTCAAATCGCTTGAAATCTCCACTTGCAAATTCCGCAGAAAGAGTTTTTCAAAACTGCTCTGTGTAAAGGAAGGTTCAACTTCTGTGACTTGAATACACACAACACAAAGAAGTGACTGAGAATTCTTCTGTCTAGCATTATATGAAGAAATCCCGTTTCCAACGAAGGCCTCAATGAAGTCCAAAAAAGCACTTGCAGGCTTTACAAACAGAGTGTTTCCAAACTGCTCTATGAAAAGAAAGGTTAAACTCTGTGAGTTGAACGCACACATCACAAAGTAGTTGTTGAGAATGATTCTGTGTAGTTTTTATACGAAGATATTTCCTTTTCTGCCATAGGCCTAGAAGCGCTTGAAATCTGCACTTGCAAATTCCAAAAACAGAGTGTTTCAAATCTGCTCTCTCTAAAGGAAGGTTCAAATCTGTGAGTTGAATACAAACAACACAAAGAAGTTACTGAGAATTCTTCTGTCTAGCATTATATGAGGAAATCCCGTTTCCAACGAAGGGCTCAAAGGGGGCCAATTATCCACCTGCAGACTTACAAAGAGTGTATTTCCAAACTGCTCGATTAAAGAAAGGTTAAACTCTGTGAGTTGAACACACACATCACAAAGTGTTTTCTGAGAATGATTTTGTCTAGTTTTAATACGAAGATATATCCTTTGCTATCACTGTCTTCGAAGCGTTTGAAATCTGCACTAGCAAATTCCACAAAAAGAGTGTTTCAACCCTGCTCTCTCTAAAGAAAAGTTGAACTCTGTGAGTTGAATACACACAACACAAAGAAGTTACTGAAAATTCTTCTGTCTAGCGTTATATAAAGAAATCCCGTTTCCAACGAAGGCCTCAAAGAGGTCCAAATATCCACTTGCAGACTTTACAAATAGAGTGTTTCCAAACTGCTCTATGAAAAGAAAGGTTAAACTCCGTGAGTTGAAGGCACACATCACAAACTAGTTTCTGCGAATGACTCTGTGTACTTTTAATATGAAGATATTTCCATGTCTAAGATTGGCGTCAAATCGCTTGAAATCTCCACTTGCAAATTCCACAAAAAGAGTGTTTCAAAACTGCTCTGAATAAAGGAAGGTTCCACTCTGTGAGTTGAATACACACAACACAAAGGATTTACTGAGAATTCTTCTGTCTAGCAGTAAATGAGAAATCCCGCTTCCAACGAAGGCCTCAAAGGGGTCTAACTAATCACTTGCAGACTTTACAGACAGAGTCTTTCCAAACTGCTCTATGAAGAGAAAGGTGAAACTCTGTGAACTGAACGCACAGATGACAAAGCAGTTTCTGAGAATGATTCTGTGTAGTTTTTACACGAAGATATTTCCATTTCAAAGATTAGCCTCAAATCGCTTGACATCTCCACTTGCAAATTCCACAGAAAGAGTTTTTCAAAACTGCTCTGTGTAATGGAAGGTTCAACTGCTGTGACTTGAATACACACAACACAAAGAAGTGACTGAGAATTCTTCTGTCTAGCATTATAAGAGGAAATCCCGTTTCCAACGAAGGGCTCATAGAGGGACAATTATCCAGCTGCAGACTTACAAAGAGTGTATTTCCAAACTGCTCGATTAAAGAAAGGTTAAACTCTGTGAGTTGAACACACACATCACAAAGTGTTTTCTGAGAATGATTTTGTCTAGTTTTAATACGAAGATATATCCTTTTCTATCACTGTCTTCGAAGCGTTTGAAATCTGCACTAGCAAATTCCACAAACAGAGTGTTTCAACTCTGCTCTCTCTCAAGAAAGGTTCAACTCTGTGAGTGGAATACACACAACACAAAGAAGTTACTGAGAATTCTTCTGTCTAGCGTTATATGAAGAAATCCCGTTTCCAACGAAGGCCTCAAAGAGGTCCAAATATCCACTTGCAGACTTTACAAATAGAGTGTTTCCAAACTGCTCTATGAAAAGAAAGGTTAAACTCTGTGAGTTGAAGGCACACATCACAAACTAGTTTCTGCGAATGACTCTGTGTACTTTTAATACGAAGATGTTTCCATGTCTAAGATTGGCGTGAATTCGCTTGAAATCTCCACTTGCAAATTCCACAAAAAGAGTGTTTCAAAACTGCTCTGAATAAAGGAAGGTTCCACTCTGTGAGTTGAATACACACAACACAAAGGATTTACTGAGAATTCTTCTGTCTAGCAGTAAATGAGAAATCCCGCTTCCAACGAAGGCCTCAAAGGGGTCTAACTAATCACTTGCAGACTTTACAGACAGAGTCTTTCCAAACTGCTCTATGAAGAGAAAGGTGAAACTCTGTGAACTGAACGCACAGATGACAAAGCAGTTTCTGAGAATGATTCTGTGTAGTTTTTACACGAAGATATTTCCATTTCAAAGATTAGCCTCAAATCGCTTGAAATCTCCACTTGCAAACTCCACAGAAAGAATTTTTCAAAACTGCTCTGTCTAAAGGAAGGTTCAACTCTGTGACTTGAATACACACAACACAAAGAAGTGACTGAGAATTCTTCTGTCTAGCATTATAAGAGGAAATCCCGTTTCCAACGAAGGGCTCATAGAGGGACAATTATCCAGCTGCAGACTTACAAAGAGTGTATTTCCAAACTGCTCGATTAAAGAAAGGTTAAACTCTGTGAGTTGAACACACACATCACAAAGTGTTTTCTGAGAATGATTCTGTGTAGTTTTTATACGAAGATATTTCCTTTTCTGCCATAGGCCTAGAAGCGCTTGTAATCTGCACTTGCAAATTCCAAAAACAGAGTGTTTCAAATCTGCTCTCTCTAAAGGAAGGTTCAAATCTGTGAGTTGAATACAAACAACACAAAGAAGTTACTGAGAATTCTTCTGTCTAGCGTTATATGAAGAAATCCCGTTTCCAACGAAGGCCTCAAAGAGGTCCAAATATCCACTTGCAGACTTTACAAATAGAGTGTTTCCCAACTGCTCTATGAAAAGAAAGGTTAAACTCTGTGAGTTGAAGGCACACATCACAAACTAGTTTCTACGAATGACTCTGTGTACTTTTAATACGAAGATGTTTCCATGTCTAAGATTGGCGTGAATTCGCTTGAAATCTCCACTTGCAAATTCCACAAAAAGAGTGTTTCAAAAGTGCTCTGAATAAAGGAAGGTTCCACTCTGTGAGTTGAATACACACAACACAAAGGATTTACTGAGAATTCTTCTGTCTAGCAGTAAATGAGAAATCCCGCTTCCAACGAAGGCCTCAAAGGGGTCTAACTAATCACTTGCAGACTTTACAGACAGAGTCTTTCCAAACTGCTCTATGAAGAGAAAGGTGAAACTCTGTGAACTGAACGCACAGATGACAAAGCAGTTTCTGAGAATGATTCTGTGTAGTTTTTACACGAAGCTATTTCCATTTCAAAGATTAGCCTCAAATCGCTTGAAATCTCCACTTGCAAATTCCACAGAAAGAGTTTTTCAAAACTGCTCTGTGTAAAGGAAGGTTCAACTCTGTGACTTGAATACACACAACACAAAGAAGTGACTGAGAATTCTTCTGTCTAGCATTATATGAAGAAATCCCGTTTCCAACGAAGGCCTCAATGAAGTCCAAAAAAGCACTTGCAGGCTTTACAAACAGAGTGTTTCCAAACTGCTCTATGAAAAGAAAGGTTAAACTCTGTGAGTTGAACGCACACATCACAAAGTAGTTGTTGAGAATGATTCTGTGTAGTTTTTATACGAAGATATTTCCTTTTCTGCCATAGGCCTAGAAGCGCTTGCAATCTGCACTTGCAAATTCCAAAAACAGAGTGTTTCAAATCTGCTCTCTCTAAAGGAAGGTTCAAATCTGTGAGTTGAATACAAACAACACAAAGAAGTTACTGAGAATTCTTCTGTCTAGCGTTATATGAAGAAATCCCGTTTCCAACGAAGGCCTCAAAGAGGTCCAAATATCCACTTGCAGACTTTACAAATAGAGTGTTTCCCAACTGCTCTATGAAAAGAAAGGTTAAACTCTGTGAGTTGAAGGCACACATCACAAACTAGTTTCTACGAATGACTCTGTGTACTTTTAATATGAAGATATTTCCATGTCTAAGATTGGCGTCAAATCGCTTGAAATCTCCACTTGCAAATTCCACAAAAAGTGTTTTTCAAAACTGCTCTGAATAAAGGAAGGTTCCACTCTGTGAGTTGAATACACACAACACAAAGGATTTACTGAGAATTCTTCTGTCTAGCAGTAAATGAAAAAATCCCGCTTCCAACGAAGTCCTCAAAGGGGTCCAAGTAATCACTTGCAGACTTTACAGACAGAGTCTTTCCAAACTGCTCTATGAAAAGAAAGGTGGAACTCTGTGAGCTGAACGCACACATAACAAAGCAGTTTCTGAGAATGATTCTGTGTAGTTTTTACACGAAGCTATTTCCATTTCAAAGATTAGCCTCAAATCGCTTGAAATCTCCACTTGCAAATTCCACAGAAAGAGTTTTTCAAAACTGCTCTGTGTAAAGGAAGGTTCAACTCTGTGACTTGAATACACACAACACAAAGAAGTGACTGAGAATTCTTCTGTCTAGCATTATATGAAGAAATCCCGTTTCCAACGAAGGCCTCAATGAAGTCCAAAAAAGCAATTGCAGGCTTTACAAACAGAGTGTTTCCAAACTGCTCTATGAAAAGAAAGGTTAAACTTTGTGAGTTGAACGCACACATCACAAAGTAGTTGTTGAGAATGATTCTGTGTAGTTTTTATACGAAGATATTCCCTTTTCTGCCATAGGCCTAGAAGCGCTTGAAATCTGCACTTGCAAATTCCAAAAACAGAGTGTGTGCAATCTGCTCTCTCTAAAGGAAGGTTCAAATCTGTGAGTTGAATACAAACAACAGAAAGAAGTTACTGAGAATTCTTCTGTCTAGCGTTATATGAAGAAATCCCGTTTCCAACGAAGGCCTCAAAGAGGTCCAAATATCCACTTGCAGACTTTACAAATAGAGTGTTTCCAAACTGCTCTATGAAAAGAAAGGTTAAACTCCGTGAGTTGAAGGCACACATCACAAACTAGTTTCTGCGAATGACTCTGTGTACTTTTAATATGAAGATATTTCCATGTCTAAGATTGGCGTCAAATCGCTTGAAATCTCCACTTGCAAATTCCACAAAAAGTGTTTTTCAAAAGTGCTCTGAATAAAGGAAGGTTCCACTCTGTGAGTTGAATACACACAACACAAAGGATTTACTGAGAATTCTTCTGTCTAGCAGTAAATGAAAAAATCCCGCTTCCAAAGAAGTCCTCAAAGGGGTCCAAGTAATCACTTGCAGACTTTACAGACAGAGTCTTTCCAACCTGCTCTATGAAAAGAAAGGTGGAACTCTGTGAGCTGAACGCACACATAACAAAGCAGTTTCTGAGAATGATTCTGTGTAGTTTTTACACGAAGATATTTCCATTTCAAAGATTAGCCTCAAATCGCTTGAAATCTCCACTTGCAAATTCCACAGAAAGAGTTTTCCACAACTGCTCTGTCTAAAGGACGGTTCAACTTTGTGACTTGAATACACACAACACAAAGAGGTGACTGAGAATTCTTCTGTCTAGCATTATATGAAGAAATCCCGTTTCCAACGAAGGCCTCAAAGAAGTCCAAATAAGCACCTGCAGACTTTACAAACAGAGTGTTTCGAAACTGCTCTATGAAAAGAAAGGTTAAACTCTGTGAGTTGAACGCACACATCACAAAGTAGTTGTTGAGAATGATTCTGTGTAGTTTTTATACGAAGATATTTCCTTTTCTGCCATAGGCCTAGAAGCGCTTGCAATCTGCACTTGCAAATTCCAAAAACAGAGTGTTTCAAATCTGCTCTCTCTAAAGGAAGTTTCAAATCTGTGAGTTGAATACAAACAACACAAAGAAGTTACTGAGAATACTTCTGTCTAGCGTTATATGAAGAAATCCCGTTTCCAACGAAGGCCTCAAAGAGGTCCAAATATCCACTTGCAGACTTTACAAATAGAGTGTTTCCCAACTGCTCTATGAAAAGAAAGGTTAAACTCTGTGAGTTGAAGGCACACATCACAAACTAGTTTCTACGAATGACTCTGTGTACTTTTAATACGAAGATGTTTCCATGTCTAAGATTGGCGTGAATTCGCTTGAAATCTCCACTTGCAAATTCCACAAAAAGAGTGTTTCAAAACTGCTCTGAATAAAGGAAGGTTCCACTCTGTGAGTTGAATACACACAACACAAAGGATTTACTGAGAATTCTTCTGTCTAGCAGTAAATGAGAAATCCCGCTTCCAACGAAGGCCTCAAAGGGGTCTAACTAATCACTTGCAGACTTTACAGACAGAGTCTTTCCAAACTGCTCTATGAAGAGAAAGGTGAAACTCTGTGAACTGAACGCACAGATGACAAAGCAGTTTCTGAGAATGATTCTGTGTAGTTTTTACACGAAGATATTTCCATTTCAAAGATTAGCCTCAAATCGCTTGAAATCTCCACTTGCAAATTCCACAGAAAGAGTTTTTCAAAACTGCTCTGTGTAAAGGAAGGTTCAACTCTGTGACTTGAATCCACACAACACAAAGAAGTGACTGAGAATTCTTCTGTCTAGCATTATATGAAGAAATCCCGTTTCCAACGAAGGCCTCAATGAAGTCCAAAAAAGCACTTGCAGGCTTTACAAACAGAGTGTTTCCAAACTGCTCTATGAAAAGAAAGGTTAAACTCTGTGAGTTGAACGCACACATCACAAAGTAGTTGTTGAGAATGATTCTGTGTAGTTTTTATACGAAGATATTTCCTTTTCTGCCATAGGCCTAGAAGCGCTTGAAATCTGCACTTGCAAATTCCAAAAACAGAGTGTTTCAAATCTGCTCTCTCTAAATGAAGGTTCAAATCTGTGTGTTGAATACAAACAACACAAAGAAGTTACTGAGAATTCTTCTGTCTAGCATTATATGAGGAAATCCCGTTTCCAACAAAGGGCTCAAAGAGGGCCAAATATCCACCTGCAGACTTACAAAGAGTGTATTTCCAAACTGCTCGATTAAAGAAAGGTTAAACTCTGTGAGTTGAACACACACATCACAAAGAGTTTTCTGAGAATGATTTTGTCTACTTTTAATACGAAGATATATCCTTTTCTATCACTGTCTTCGAAGCGTTTGAAATCTACACTAGCAAATTCCACAAAAAGAGTGTTTCACCTCTGCTCCCTCTAAAGAAAGGTTCAACTCTGTGAGTTGAATACACACAACACAAAGAAGTTACTGAGAATTCTTCTGTCTAGCGTTATATGAAGAAATCCCGTTTCCAACGAAGGCCTCAAAGACGTCCAAATATCCACTTGCAGACTTTACAAATAGAGTGTTTCCAAACTGCTCTATGAAAAGAAAGGTTAAACTCCGTGAGTTGAAGGCACACATCACAAACTAGTTTCTGCGAATGACTCTGTGTACTTTTAATATGAAGAAATTTCCATGTCTAAGATTGGCGTCAAATCGCTTGAAATCTCCACTTGCAAATTCCACAAAAAGTGTTTTTCAAAACTTCTCTGAATAAAGGAAGGTTCAACTCTGTGAGTTGAATACACACAACACAAAGGATTTACTGAGAACTCTTCTGTCTAGCAGTAAATGAAAAAATCCCGCTTCCAACGAAGTCCTCCAAGGGGTCCAAGTAATCACTTGCAGACTTCACAGACAGAGTCTTTCCAAACTGCCCTATGAAAAGAAAGGTGGAACTCTGTGAGCTGAACGCACACATAACAAAGCAGTTTCTGAGAATGATTCTGTGTAGTTTTTACATGAAGATATTTCCATTTCACAGATTAGCCTCAAATCGCTTGAAATCTCCACTTGCAAATTCCACAGAAAGAATTTTTCACAACTGCTCTGTCTAAAGGAAGGTTCAACTCTGTGACTTGAATACACACAACACAAAGAAGTGACTGAGAATTCTTCTGTCTAGCATTATATGAAGAAATCCCGTTTCCAACGAAGGCCTCAATGAAGTCCAAAAAAGCACTTGCAGGCTTTACAAACAGAGTGTTTCCAAACTGCTCTATGAAAAGAAAGGTTAAACTCTGTGAGTTGAACGCACACATCACAAAGTAGTTGTTGAGAATGATTCTGTGTAGTTTTTATACGAAGATATTTCCTTTTCTGCCATAGGCCTAGAATCGCTTGAAATCTGCACTTGCAAATTCCAAAAACAGAGTGTTTCAACTCTGCTCTCTCTAAAGAAAGGTTCAACTCTGTGAGTTGAATACACACAACACAAAGAAGTTACTGAGAATTCTTCTGTCTAGCGTTATATGAAGAAATCCCGTTTCCAACGAAGGCCTCAAAGAGGTCCAAATATCCACTTGCAGACTTTACAAATAGAGTGTTTCCCAACTGCTCTATGAAAAGAAAGGTTAAACTCTGTGAGTTGAAGGCACACATCACAAACTAGTTTCTACGAATGACTCTGTGTACTTTTAATATGAAGATATTTCCATGTCTAAGATTGGCGTCAAATCGCTTGAAATCTCCACTTGCAAATTCCACAAAAAGAGTGTTTCAAAACTGCTCTGAATAAAGGAAGGTTCCACTCTGTGAGTTGAATAAACGCAACACAAATGATTTACTGAGAATTCTTCTGTCTAGCAGTAAATGAAAAAATCCCGCTTCCAACGAAGTCCTCAAAGGGGTCCAAGTAATCACTTGCAGACTTTACAGACAGAGTCTTTCCAAACTGCTCTATGAAAAGAAAGGTGGAACTCTGTGAGCTGAACGCACACATAACAAAGCAGTTTCTGAGAATGATTCTGTGTAGTTTTTACACGAAGATATTTCCATTTCAAAGATTAGCCTCAAATCGCTTGAAATCTCCACTTGCAAATTCCACAGAAAGAGTTTTTCAAAACTGCTCTGTGTAAAGGAAGGTTCAACTCTGTGACTTGAATACACACAACACAAAGAAGTGACTGAGAATTCTTCTGTCTAGCATTATATGAAGAAATCCCGTTTCCAACGAAGGCCTCAAAGAAGTCCAAATAAGCACCTGCAGACTTTACAAACAGAGTGTTTCCAAACTGCTCTATGAAAAGAAAGGTTAAACTCTGTGAGTTGAACGCACACATCACAAAGTAGTTGTTGAGAATGATTCTGTGTAGTTTTTATACGAAGATATTTCCTTTTCTGCCATAGGCCTAGAATCGCTTGAAATCTGCACTTGCAAATTCCAAAAACAGAGTGTTTCAACTCTGCTCTCTCTAAAGAAAGGTTCAACTCTGTGAGTTGAATACACACAACACAAAGAAGTTACTGAGAATTCTTCTGTCTAGCGTTGTATGAAGAAATCCCGTTTCCAACGGAGGCCTCAAAGAGGTCCAAATATCCACTTGCAGACTTTACAAACAGAGTGTTTCCAAACTGCTCTATGAAAAGAAAGGTTAAACTCTGTGAGTTGAAGGCACACATCACAAACTAGTTTCTACGAATGACTCTGTGTACTTTTAATACGAAGATGTTTCCATGTCTAAGATTGGCGTGAATTCGCTTGAAATCTCCACTTGCAAATTCCACCAAAAGAGTGTTTCAAAACTGCTCTGAATAAAGGAAGGTTCCACTCTGTGAGTTGAATACACACAACACAAAGGATTTACTGAGAATTCTTCTGTCTAGCAGTAAATGAGAAATCCCGCTTCCAACGAAGGCCTCAAAGGGGTCTAACTAATCACTTGCAGACTTTACAGACAGAGTCTTTCCAAACTGCTCTATGAAGAGAAAGGTGAAACTCTGTGAACTGAACGCACAGATGACAAAGCAGTTTCTGAGAATGATTCTGTCTAGTTTTTACACGGAGATATTTCCATTTCAAAGATTGGCCTTAAATCGCATGTAATCTCCACTTGCAAATTCCACAGAAAGAGTTTTTCAAAACTGCTCTGTCTAAATGAAGGTTCAACTCTGTGACTTGAATACACACAACACAAAGAAGTGACTGAGAATTCTTCTGTCTAGCATTACATGAAGAAATCCCGTTTCCAACGAAGGCCTCAATGAAGTCCAAAAAAGCACTTGCAGGCTTTACAAACAGAGTGTTTCCAAACTGCTCTATGAAAAGAAAGGTTAAACTCTGTGAGTTGAACGCACACATCACAAAGTCGTTGTTGAGAATGATTCTGTGTAGTTTTTATACGAAGATATTTCCTTTTCTGCCATAGGCCTAGAAGCGCTTGTAATCTGCACTTGCAAATTCCAAAAACAGAGTGTTTCAAATCTGCTCTCTCTAAAGGAAGGTTCAAATCTGTGAGTTGAATACAAACAACACAAAGAAGTTACTGAGAATTCTTCTGTCTAGCGTTATATGAAGAAATCCCGTTTCCAACGAAGGCCTCAAAGAGGTCCAAATATCCACTTGCAGACTTTACAAATAGAGTGTTTCCAAACTGCTCTATGAAAAGAAAGGTTAAACTCCGTGAGTTGAAGGCACACATCACAAACTAGTTTCTGCGAATGACTCTGTGTACTTTTAATACGAAGATGTTTCCATGTCTAAGATTGGCGTGAATTCGCTTGAAATCTCCACTTGCAAATTCCACAAAAAGAGTGTTTCAAAAGTGCTCTGAATAAAGGAAGGTTCCACTCTGTGAGTTGAATACACACAACACAAAGGATTTACTGAGAATTCTTCTGTCTAGCAGTAAATGAAAAAATCCCGCTTCCAACGAAGTCCTCAAAGGGGTCCAAGTAATCACTTGCAGACTTTACAGACAGAGTCTTTCCAAACTGCTCTATGAAAAGAAAGGTGGAACTCTGTGAGCTGAACGCACACATAACAAAGCAGTTTCTGACAATGATTCTGTGTAGTTTTTACACGAAGCTATTTCCATTCCAAAGATTAGCCTCAAATCGCTTGAAATCTCCACTTGCAAATTCCACAGAAAGAGTTTTTCAAAACTGCTCTGTGTAAAGGAAGGTTCAACTCTGTGACTTGAATACACACAACACAAAGAAGTGACTGAGAATTCTTCTGTCTAGCATTATATGAAGAAATCCCGTTTCCAACAAAGGCCTCAAAGAAGTCCAAATAAGCACCTGCAGACTTTACAAACAGAGTGTTTCCAAACTGCTCTATGAAAAGAAAGGTTAAACTCTGTGAGTTGAACGCACACATCACAAAGTAGTTGTTGAGAATGATTCTGTGTAGTTTTTATACGAAGATATTTCCTTTTCTGCCATAGGCCTAGAAGCGCTTGTAATCTGCACTTGCAAATTCCAAAACCAGAGTGTTTCAAATCTGCTCTCTCTAAAGGAAGGTTCAAATCTGTGAGTTGAATACAAACAACACAAAGAAGTTACTGAGGATTCTTCTGTCTAGCGTTATATGAAGAAATCCCGTTTCCAACGAAGGCCTCAAAGAGGTCCAAATATCCACTTGCAGACTTTACAAATAGAGTGTTTCCAAACTGCTCTATGAAAAGAAAGGTTAAACTCCGTGAGTTGAAGGCACACATCACAAACTAGTTTCTGCGAATGACTCTGTGTACTTTTAATATGAAGATATTTCCATGTCTAAGATTGACGTCAAATCGCTTGAAATCTCCACTTGCAAATTCCACAAAAAGTGTTTTTCAAAACTGCTCTGAATAAAGGAAGGTTCCACTTCTGTGAGTTGAATACACACAACACAAAGGATTTACTGAGAATTCTTCTGTCTAGCAGTAAATGAAAAAATCCCGCTTCCAACGAAGTCCTCAAAGGGGTCCAAGTAATCACTTGCAGACTTTACAGACAGAGTCTTTCCAAACTGCTCTATGAAAAGAAAGGTGGAACTCTGTGAGCTGAACGCACACATAACAAAGCAGTTTCTGAGAATGATTCTGTGTAGTTTTCACACGAAGATATTTCCATTTCAAAGATTAGCCTGAAATCCCTTGAAATCTCCACTTGCAAATTCCACAGAAAGAGTTTTTCAAAACTGCTCTGTGTAAAGGAAGGTTCAACTGTGTGACTTGAATACACACAACACAAAGAAGTGACTGAGAATTCTTCTGTCTAGCATTATATGAAGAAATCCCGTTTCCAACGAAGGCCTCAAAGAAGTCCACATAAGCACCTGCAGACTTTACAAACAGAGTGTTTCCAAACTGCTCTATGAAAAGAAAGGTTAAACTCTGTGAGTTGAACACGCACATCACAAAGTAGTTTTTGAGAATGATTCTGTGTAGTTTTTATACGAAGATATTTCCTTTTCTGCCATAGGCCTAGAAGCGCTTGTAATCTGCACTTGCAAATTCCAATAACAGAGTGTTTCAAATCTGCTCTCTCTAAAGGAAGGTTCAAATCTGTGAGTTGAATACAAACAACACAAAGAAGTTACTGAGAATTCTTCTGTCTAGCGTTATATGAAGAAATCCCGTTTCCAACGAAGGCCTCAAAGAGGTCCAAATATCCCCTTGCAGACTTTACAAATAGAGTGTTTCCAAACTGCTCTATGAAAAGAAAGGTTAAACTCCGTGAGTTGAAGGCACACATCACAAACTAGTTTCTGCGAATGACTCTGTGTACTTTTAATACGAAGATGTTTCCATGTCTAAGATTGGCGTGAATTCGCTTGAAATCTCCACTTGCAATTTCCACAAAAAGAGTGTTTCAAAACTGCTCTGAATAAAGGAAGGTTTCACTCTGTGAGTTGAATACACACAACACAAAGGATTTACTGAGAATTCTTCTGTCTAGCAGTAAATGAAAAAATCCCGCTTCCAACGAAGTCCTCAAAGGGGTCCAAGTAATCACTTGCAGACTTTACAGACAGAGTCTTTCCAAACTGCTCTATGAAAAGAAAGGTGGAACTCTGTGAGCTGAACGCACACATAACAAAGCAGTTTCTGACAATGATTCTGTGTAGTTTTTACACGAAGATATTTCCATTTCAAAGATTAGCCTCAAATCGCTTGAAATCTCCACTTGCAAATTCCACAGAAAGAGTTTTTCAAAACTGCTCTGTGTAAAGGAAGGTTCAACTCTGTGACTTGAATACACACAACACAAAGAAGTGACTGAGAATTCTTCTGTCTAGCATTATATGAGGAAATCCCGTTTCCAACGAAGGGCTCATAGAGGGACAATTATCCAGCTGCAGACTTACAAAGAGTGTATTTCCAAACTGCTCGATTAAAGAAAGGTTAAACTCTGTGAGTTGAACACACACATCACAAAGTGTTTTCTGAGAATGATTCTGTGTAGTTTTTATACGAAGATATTTCCTTTTCTGCCATAGGCCTAGAATGGCTTGAAATCTGCACTTGCAAATTCAAAAAACAGAGTGTTTCAACTCTGCTCTCTCTAAAGAAAGGTTCAACTCTGTGAGTTGAATACACACAACACAAAGAAGTTACTGAGAATTCTTCTGTCTAGCGTTGTATGAAGAAATCCCGTTTCCAACGAAGGCCTCAAAGAGGTCCAAATATCCACTTGCAGACTTTACAAACAGAGTGTTTCCAAACTGCTCTATGAAAAGAAAAGTTAAACTCTGTGAGTTGAAGGCACACATCACAAACTAGTTTCTACGAATGACTCTGTGTACTTTTAATACGAAGATGTTTCCATGTCTAAGATTGGCGTGAATTCGCTTGAAATCTCCACTTGCAAATTCCACAAAAAGAGTGTTTCAAAACTGCTCTGAATAAAGGAAGGTTCCACTCTGTGAGTTGAATACACACAACACAAAGGATTTACTGAGAATTCTTCTGTCTAGCAGTAAATGAGAAATCCCGCTTCCAACGAAGGCCTCAAAGGGGTCTAACTAATCACTTGCAGACTTTACAGACAGAGTCTTTCCAAACTGCTCTATGAAGAGAAAGGTGAAACTCTGTGAACTGAACGCACAGATGACAAAGCAGTTTCTGAGAATGATTCTGTGTAGTTTTTACACGAAGCTATTTCCATTTCAAAGATTAGCCTCAAATCGCTTGAAATCTCCACTTGCAAATTCCACAGAAAGAGTTTTTCAAAACTGCTCTGTGTAAAGGAAAGTTCAACTCTGTGACTTGAATACACACAACACAAAGAAGTGACTGAGAATTCTTCTGTCTAGCATTATATGAAGAAATCCCGTTTCCAACGAAGGCCTCAAAGAAGTCCAAATAAGCACCTGCAGACTTTACAAACAGAGTGTTTCCAAACTGCTCTATGAAAAGAAAGGTTAAACTCTGTGAGCTGAACGCACACATCACAAAGTAGTTGTTGAGAATGATTCTGTGTAGTTTTTATACGAAGATATTTCCTTTTCTGCCATAGGCCTAGAAGCGCTTGTAATCTGCACTTGCAAATTCCAAAAACAGAGTGTTTCAAATCTGCTCTCTCTAAAGGAAGGTTCAAATCTGTGAGTTGAATACAAACAACACAAAGAAGTTACTGAGAATTCTTCTGTCTAGCGTTATATGAAGAAATCCCGTTTCCAACGAAGGCCTCAAAGAGGTCCAAATATCCACTTGCAGACTTTACAAATAGAGTGTTTCCCAACTGCTCTATGAAAAGAAAGGTTAAACTCTGTGAGTTGAAGGCACACATCACAAACTAGTTTCTACGAATGACTCTGTGTACTTTTAATATGAAGATATTTCCATGTCTAAGATTGGCGTCAAATCGCTTGAAATCTCCACTTGCAAATTCCACAAAAAGTGTTTTTCAAAACTGCTCTGAATAAAGGAAGGTTCCACTCTGTGAGTTGAATACACACAACACAAAGGATTTACTGAGAATTCTTCTGTCTAGCAGTAAATGAGAAATCCCGCTTCCAACGAAGGCCTCAAAGGGGTCTAACTAATCACTTGCAGACTTTACAGACAGAGTCTTTCCAAACTGCTCTATGAAGAGAAAGGTGAAACTCTGTGAACTGAACGCACAGATAACAAAGCAGTTTCTGAGAATGATTCTGTGTAGTTTTTACACGAAGATATTTCCATTTCAAAGATTAGCCTCAAATCGCTTGAAATCTCCACTTGCAAACTCCACAGAAAGAATTTTTCAAAACTGCTCTGTCTAAAGGAAGGTTCAACTCTGTGACTTGAATACACACAACACAAAGAAGTGACTGAGAATTCTTCTGTCTAGCATTATATGAGGAAATCCCGTTTCCAACGAAGGGCTCATAGAGGGACAATTATCCACCTGCAGAATTACAAAGAGTGTATTTCCAAACTGCTCGATTAAAGAAAGGTTAAACTCTGTGAGTTGAACACACACATCACAAAGTGTTTTCTGAGAATGATTTTGTCTAGTTTTAATACGAAGATATATCCTTTTCTACCACTGTCTTCGAAGCGTTTGAAATCTGCACTAGCAAATTCCACAAAAAGAGTGTTTCAACTCTGCTCTCTCTCAAGAAAGGTTCAACTCTGTGAGTGGAATACACACAACACAAAGAAGTTACTGAGAATTCTTCTGTCTAGCGTTATATGAAGAAATCCCGTTTCCAACGAAGGCCTCAAAGAGGTCCAAATATCCACTTGCAGACTTTACAAATAGAGTGTTTCCAAACTGCTCTATGAAAAGAAAGGTTAAACTCTGTGAGTTGAAGGCACACATCACAAACTAGTTTCTGCGAATGACTCTGTGTACTTTTAATACGAAGATGTTTCCATGTCTAAGATTGGCGTGAATTCGCTTGAAATCTCCACTTGCAAATTCCACAAAAAGAGTGTTTCAAAACTGCTCTGAATAAAGGAAGGTTCCACTCTGAGAGTTGAATACACACAACACAAAGGATTTACTGAGAATTCTTCTGTATAGCAGTAAATTAAAAAATCCCGCTTCCAACGAAGTCATCAAAGGGGTCCAAGTAATCACTTGCATACTTTACAGACAGAGTCTTTCCAAACTGCTGTATGAAAAGAAAGGTGAAACTCTGTGAGTTGAACGCACACATAACAAAGCAGTTTGTGAGAATGATTCTGTGTAGTTTGTACACGAAGAATATTTCCATTTCAAAGATTAGCCTCAAATCGCTTGAAATCTCCACTTGCAAATTCCACAGAAAGAGTTTTTCAAAACTGCTCTGTGTAAAGGAAGGTTCAACTCTCTGACTTGAATACACACAACACAAAGAAGTGACTGAGAATTCTTCTGTTTAGCATTATAAGAGGAAATCCCGTTTCCAACGAAGGGCTCATAGAGGGACAATTATCCAGCTGCAGACTTACAAAGAGTGTATTTCCAAACTGCTCGATTAAAGAAAGGTTAAACTCTGTGAGTTGAACACACACATCACAAAGTGTTTTCTGAGAATGATTTTGTCTAGTTTTAATACGAAGATATATCCTTTTCTATCACTGTCTTCGAAGCGTTTGAAATCTGCACTAGCAAATTCCACAAACAGAGTGTTTCAACTCTGCTCTCTCTCAAGAAAGGTTCAACTCTGTGAGTGGAATACACACAACACAAAGAAGTTACTGAGAATTCTTCTGTCTAGCGTTATATGAAGAAATCCCGTTTCCAACGAAGGCCTCAAAGAGGTCCAAATATCCACTTGCAGACTTTACAAATAGAGTGTTTCCAAACTGCTCTATGAAAAGAAAGGTTAAACTCTGTGAGTTGAAGGCACACATCACAAACTAGTTTCTGCGAATGACTCTGTGTACTTTTAATACGAAGATGTTTCCATGTCTAAGATTGGCGTGAATTCGCTTGAAATCTCCACTTGCAAATTCCACAAAAAGAGTGTTTCAAAACTGCTCTGAATAAAGGAAGGTTCCACTCTGTGAGTTGAATACACACAACACAAAGGATTTACTGAGAATTCTTCTGTCTAGCAGTAAATGAAAAAATCCCGCTTCCAACGAAGTCCTCAAAGGGGTCCAAGTAATCACTTGCAGACTTTACAGACAGAGTCTTTCCAAACTGCTCTATGAAAAGAAAGGTGGAACTCTGTGAGCTGAACGCACACATAACAAAGCAGTTTCTGAGAATGATTCTGTGTACTTTTAATATGAAGATATTTCCATGTCTATGATTGGCGTCAAATCGCTTGAAATCTCCACTTGCAAATTCCACAAAAAGAGTGTTTCAAAACTGCTCTGAATAAAGGAAGGTTCCACTCTGTGGGTTGAATACACACAACACAAAGGATTTACTGAGAATTCTTCTGTCTAGCATTATATGAAGAAATCCCCTTTCCAACGAAGGCCTCAATGAAGACCAAAAAAGCAATTGCAGGCTTTACAAACAGAGTGTTTCCAAACTGCTCTTTGAAAAGAAAAGTTAAACTTTGTGAGTTGAACGCACACATCACAAAGTAGTTGTTGAGAATGATTTTGTCTAGTTTTAATACGAAGATATATCCTTTTCTATCACTGTCTTCGAAGCGTTTGAAATCTGCACTAGCAAATTCCACAGAAAGAGTGTTTCAAATCTGCTCTCTCTCAAGAAAGGTTCAACTCTGTGAGTGGAATACACACAACACAAGGAAGTTACAGAGAATTCTTCTGTCTAGCGTTATATGAAGAAATCCCGTTTCCAACGAAGGCCTCAAAGAGGTCCAAATATCCACTTGCAGACTTTACAAATAGAGTGTTTCCAAACTGCTCTATGAAAAGAAAGGTTAAACTCCGTGAGTTGAAGGCACACATCACAAACTAGTTTCTGCGAATGACTCTGTGTACTTTTAATACGAAGATGTTTCCATGTCTAAGATGGGCGTGAATTCGCTTGAAATCTCCACTTGCAAATTCCACAAAAAGAGTGTTTCAAAACTGCTCTGAATAAAGGAAGGTTCCACTCTGTGAGTTGAATACACACAACACAAAGGATTTACTGAGAATTCTTCTGTCTAGCAGTAAATGAAAAAATCCCGCTTCCAACGAAGTCCTCAAAGGGGTCCAAGTAATCACTTGCAGACTTTACAGACAGAGTCTTTCCAAACTGCTCTATGAAGAGAAAAGTGAAACTGTGTGAACTGAACGCACAGATAACAAAGCAGTTTCTGAGAATGATTCTGTGCAGTTTTTATAAGAAGGTATTTCCATTTCAAAGATTAGCCTCAAATCGCTTGAAATCTCCACTTGCAAATTCCACAGAAAGAGTTTTTCAAAACTGCTCTGTGTAAAGGAAGGTTCAACTCTGTGACTTGAATACACACAACACAAAGAAGTGACTGAGAATTCTTCTGTCTAGCATTATATGAAGAAATCCCGTTTCCAACGAAGGCCTCAAAGAAGTCCAAATAAGCACCTGCAGACTTTACAAACAGAGTGTTTCCAAACTGCTCTATGAAAAGAAAGGTTAAACTCTGTGAGTTGAACGCACACATCACAAAGTAGTTGTTGAGAATGATTCTGTGTAGTTTTTATACGAAGATATTTCCTTTTCTGCCATAGGCCTAGAAGCGCTTGTAATCTGCACTTGCAAATTCCAAAAACAGAGTGTTTCAAATCTGCTCTCTCCAAAGGAAGGTTCAAATCTGTGAGTTGAATACAAACAACACAAAGAAGTTACTGAGAATTCTTCTGTCTAGCGTTGTATGAAGAAATCCCGTTTCCAACGAAGGCCTCAAAGAGGTCCAAATATCCACTTGCAGACTTTACAAATAGAGTGTTTCCAAACTGCTCTATGAAAAGAAAGGTTAAACTCTGTGAGTTGAAGGCACACATCACAAACTAGTTTCTACGAATGACTCTGTGTACTTTTAATATGAAGATATTTCCATGTCTAAGATTGGCGTCAAATCGCTTGAAATCTCCACTTGCAAATTCCACAAAAAGTGTTTTTCAAAACTGCTCTGAATAAAGGAAGGTTCCACTCTGTGAGTTGAATACACACAACACAAAGGATTTACTGAGAATTCTTCTGTCTAGCAGTAAATGAAAAAATCCCGCTTCCAACGAAGTCCTCAAAGGGGTCCAAGTAATCACTTGCAGACTTTACAGACAGAGTCTTTCCAAACTGCTCTATGAAAAGAAAGGTGGAACTCTGTGAGCTGAACGCACACATAACAAAGCAGTTTCTGAGAATGATTCTGTGTAGTTTTTACACGAAGCTATTTCCATTTCAAAGATTAGCCTCAAATCGCTTGAAATCTCCACTTGCAAATTCCACAGAAAGAGTTTTTCAAAACTGTTCTGTGTAAAGGAAGGTTCAACTCTGTGACTTGAATACACACAACACAAAGAAGTGACTGAGAATTCTTCTGTCTAGCATTATATGAAGAAATCCCGTTTCCAACGAAGGCCTCAATGAAGTCCAAAAAAGCACTTGCAGGCTTTACAAACAGAGTGTTTCCAAACTGCTCTATGAAAAGAAAGGTTAAACTCTGTGAGTTGAACGCACACATCACAAAGTAGTTGTTGAGAATGATTTTGTCTAGTTTTAATACGAAGATATATCCTTTTCTATCACTGTCTTCGAAGCGTTTGAAATCTGCACTATCAAATTCCACAAACAGAGTGTTTCAACTCTGCTCTCTCTCAAGAAAGGTTCAACTCTGTGAGTTGAATACACACAACACAAAGAAGTTACAGAGAATTCTTCTGTCTAGCGTTGTATGAAGAAATCCCGTTTCCAACGAAGGCCTCAAAGAGGTCCAAATATCCACTTGCAGACTTTACAAATAGAGTGTTTCCAAACTGCTCTATGAAAAGAAAGGTTAAACTCTGTGAGTTGAAGGCACACATCACAAACTAGTTTCTACGAATGACTCTGTGTACTTTTAATACGAAGATGTTTCCATGTCTAAGATTGGCGTGAATTCGCTTGAAATCTCCACTTGCAAATTCCACAAAAAGAGTGTTTCAAAACTGCTCTGAATAAAGGAAGGTTCCACTCTGTGAGTTGAATACACACAAAACAAAGGATTTACTGAGAATTCTTCTGTCTAGCAGTAAATGAAAAAATCCCGCTTCCAACGAAGTCCTCAAAGGGGTCCAAGTAATCACTTGCAGACTTTACAGACAGAGTCTTTCCAAACTGCTCTATGAAAAGAAAGGTGGAACTCTGTGAGCTGAACGCACACATAACAAAGCAGTTTCTGACAATGATTCTGTGTAGTTTTTACACGAAGATATTTCCATTTCAAAGATTAGCCTCAAATCGCTTGAAATCTCCACTTGCAAACTCCACAGAAAGAATTTTTCAAAACTGCTCTGTCTAAAGGAAGGTTCAACTCTGTGACTTGAATACACACAACACAAAGAAGTGACTGAGAATTCTTCTGTCTAGCATTATATGAAGAAATCCCGTTTCCAACGAAGGCCTCAAAGAAGTCCAAATAAGCACCTGCAGACTTTACAAACAGAGTGTTTCCAAACTGCTCTATGAAAAGAAAGGTTAAACTCTGTGAGTTGAACGCACACATCACAAAGTAGTTGTCGAGAATGATTCTGTGTAGTTTTTATACAAAGATATTTCCTTTTCTGCCATAGGCCTAGAAGCGCTTGAAATCTGCACTTGCAAATTCCAAAAACAGAGTGTTTCAAATCTGCTCTCTCTAAAGGAAGGTTCAAATCTGTGAGTTGAATACAAACAACACAAAGAAGTTACTGAGAATTCTTCTGTCTAGCGTTATATGAAGAAATCCCGTTTCCAACGAAGGCCTCAAAGAGGTCCAAATATCCACTTGCAGACTTTACAAATAGAGTGTTTCCAAACTGCTCTATGAAAAGAAAGGTTAAACTCCGTGAGTTGAAGGCACACATCACAAACTAGTTTCTGCGAATGACTCTGTGTACTTTTAATACGAAGATGTTTCCATGTCTAAGATTGGCGTGAATTCGCTTGAAATCTCCACTTGCAAATTCCACAAAAAGAGTGTTTCAAAACTGCTCTGAATAAAGGAAGGTTCCACTCTGTGAGTTGAATACACACAACACAAAGGATTTACTGAGAATTCTTCTGTCTAGCAGTAAATGAAAAAATCCCGCTTCCAACGAAGTCCTCCAAGGGGTCCAAGTAATCACTTGCAGACTTCACAGACAGAGTCTTTCCAAACTGCCCTATGAAAAGATAGGTGGAACTCTGTGAGCTGAACGCACACATAACAAAGCAGTTTCTGAGAATGATTCTGTGTAGTTTTTACACGAAGATATTTCCATTTCAAAGATTAGCCTCAAATCGCTTGAAATCTCCACTTGCAAACTCCACAGAAAGAATTTTTCAAAACTGCTCTGTCTAAAGGAAGGTTCAACTCTGTGACTTGAATACACACAACACAAAGAAGTGACTGAGAATTCTTCTGTCTAGCATTATATGAAGAAATCCCGTTTCCAACGAAGGCCTCAATGAAGTCCAAAAAAGCACTTGCAGGCTTTACAAACAGAGTGTTTCCAAACTGCTCTGTGAAAAGAAAGGTTAAACTCTATGAGTTGAACGCACACATCACAAAGTAGTTGTTGAGAATGATTCTGTGTAGTTTTTATACGAAGATATTTCCTTTTCTGCCATAGGCCTAGAATCGCTTGAAATCTGCACTTGCAAATTCCAAAAACAGAGTGTTTCAACTCTGCTCTCTCTAAAGAAAGGTTCAACTCTGTGAGTTGAATACAAACAACACAAAGAAGTTACTGAGAATTCTTCTGTCTAGCGTTGTATGAAGAAATCCCGTTTCCAACGAAGGCCTCAAAGAGGTCCAAATATCCACTTGCAGACTTTACAAATAGAATGTTTCCGAACTGCTCTATGAAAAGAAAGGTTAAACTCTGTGAGTTGAAGGCACACATCACAAACTAGTTTCTACGAATGATTCTGTGTACTTTTAATATGAAGATATTTCCATGTCTAAGATTGGCGTCAAATCGCTTGAAATCTCCACTTGCAAATTCCACAAAAAGAGTGTTTCAAAACTGCTCTGAATAAAGGAAGGTTCCACTGCTGTGAGTTGAATACACACAACACAAAGGATTTACTGAGAATTCTTCTGTCTTGAAGTAAATGAGAAATCCCGCTTCCAACGAAGGCCTCAAAGGGGTCTAACTAATCACTTGCAGACTTTAAAGACAGAGTCTTTCCAAACTGCTCTATGAAGAGAAAGGTGAAACTCTGTGAACTGAACGCACAGATGACAAAGCAGTTTCTGAGAAAGCTTCTGTGTAGTTTTTACACGAAGCTATTTCCATTTCAAAGATTAGCCTCAAATCGCTTGAAATCTCCACTTGCAAATTCCACAGAAAGAGTTTTTCAAAACTGCTCTGTGTAAAGGAAGGTTCAACTCTGTGACTTGAATACACACAACACAAAGAAGTGACTGAGAATTCTTCTGTCTAGCATTATAAGAGGAAATCCCGTTTCCAACGAAGGGCTCATAGAGGGACAATTATCCAGCTGCAGACTTACAAAGAGTGTATTTCCAAACTGCTCGATTAAAGAAAGGTTAAACTCTGTGAGTTGAACACACACATCACAAAGTGTTTTCTGAGAATGATTTTGTCTAGTTTTAATACGAAGATATATCCTTTTCTATCACTGTCTTCGAAGCGTTTGAAATCTGCACTAGCAAATTCCACAAACAGAGTGTTTCAACTCTGCTCTCTCTCAAGGAAGCTTCAACTCTGTGAGTGGAATACACACAACACAAAGAAGTTACTGAGAATTCTTCTGTCTAGCGTTATATGAAGAAATCCCGTTTCCAACGAAGGCCTCAAAGAGGTCCAAATATCCACTTGCAGACTTTACAAATAGAGTGTTTCCAAACTGCTCTATGAAAAGAAAGGTTAAACTCCGTGAGTTGAAGGCACACATCACAAACTAGTTTCTGCGAATGACTCTGTGTACTTTTAATATGAAGATATTTCCATGTCTAAGATTGGCGTCAAATCGCTTGAAATCTCCACTTGCAAATTCCACAAAAAGAGTGTTTCAAAACTGCTCTGAATAAAGGAAGGTTCCACTCTGTGAGTTGAATACACACAACACAAAGGATTTACTGAGAATTCTTCTGTCTAGCAGTAAATGAGAAATCCCGCTTCCAACGAAGGCCTCAAAGGGGTCTAACTAATCACTTGCAGACTTTACAGACAGAGTCTTTCCAAACTGCTCTATGAAGAGAAAGGTGAAACTCTGTGAACTGAACGCACAGATGACAAAGCAGTTTCTGAGAATGATTCTGTGTAGTTTTTACACGAAGACATTTCCATTTCAAAGATTAGCCTCAAATCGCTTGAAATCTCCACTTGCAAATTCCACAGAAAGAATTTTTCAAAACTGCTCTGTCTAAAGGAAGGTTCAACTCTGTGACTTGAATACACACAACACAAAGAAGTGACTGAGAATTCTTCTGTCTAGCATTATATGAAGAAATCCCGTTTCCAACGAAGGCCTCAATGAAGTCCGGAAAAGCACTTGCAGGCTTTACAAACAGAGTGTTTCCAAACTGCTCTATGAAAAGAAAGGTTAAACTCTGTGAGTTGAACGCACACATCACAAACTAGTTGTTGAGAATGATTCTGTGTAGTTTTTATACGAAGATATTTCCTTTTCTGCCATAGGCCTAGAATCGCTTCAAATCTGCACTTGCAAATTCCAAAAACAGAGTGTTTCAACTCTGCTCTCTCTAAAGAAAGGTTCAACTCTGTGAGTTGAATACACACAACACAAAGAAGTTACTGAGAATTCTTCTGTCTAGCGTTATATGAAGAAATCCCGTTTCCAAAGAAGCCGTCAAAGAGGTCCAAATATCCACTTGCAGACTTTGCAAATAGAGGGTTTCCAAACTGCTCTATGAAAAGAAAGCTTAAACTCTGTGAGTTGAAGGCACACATCACAAACTAGTTTCTGCGAATGACTCTGTGTAGTTTTAATATGAAGATATTTTCATGTCTAAGATTGGCGTCAAATCGCTTGAAATCTCCACTTGCAAATTCCACAAAAAGTGTTTTTCAAAACTTCTCTGAATAAAGGAAGGTTCAACTCTGTGAGTTGAATACACATAACAAAAAGGATTTACTGAGAATTCTTCTGTCTAGCAGTAAATGACAAAATCCCGCCTCCAACGAAGTCCTCAAAGGGGTCCAAGTAATCACTTGCAGACTTCACAGACAGAGTCTTTCCAAACTGCTCTATGAAAAGAAAGGTGGAACTCTGTGAGCTGAACGCACAGATAACAAAGCAGTTTCTGAGAATGATTCTGTGTAGTTTTTACACGAAGATATTTCCATTTCAAAGATTAGCCTCAAATCGTTTGAAATCTCCACTTGCAAATTCCACAGAAAGAATTTTTCAAAACTGCTCTGTCTAAAGGAAGGTTCAACTCTGTGACTTGAACCCACACAACACAAAGATGTGACTGAGAATTCTTCTGTCTAGCATTATGTGAAGAAATCCCGTTTCCAACGAAGCCCTCAAAGAGGTCCAAATATCCACTTCCAGACTTCACACATAGAGTGTTTCCAAACTGCTCTATGAAAAGAAAGATTAAACTCTGTGAGTTGAAGGCACACATCACAAACTAGTTTCTGCCAATGACTCTGTGTACTTTTAATACGAAGATATTTCCATGTCTAAGATTGGCGTGAATTCGCTTGAAATCTCCACTTGCAAATTCCACAAAAAGAGTGTTTCAAACTGCTCTGAATAAAGGAAGGTTCAACTCTGTGAGTTGAATACACACAACACAAAGGATTTAATGGGAATTCTTCTGTCTAGCAGTAAATGAGAAATCCCGCTTCCAACGAAGGCCTCAAAGGGGTCTAACTAATCACTTGCAGACTTTACAGACAGTCTTTCCAAACTGCTCTATGAAGAGAAAGGTGAAACTCAGTGAACTGAACGCACAGATAACAAAGCAGTTTCTGAGAATGATTCTGTGTAGTTTTTACACGAAGATATTTCCATTTCAAAGATTAGCCTCAAATCGCTTGAAATCTCCACTTGCAAACTCCACAGAAAGAATTTTTCAAAACTGCTCTGTCTAAAGGAAGGTTCAACTCTGTGACTTGAATACACACAACACAAAGAAGTGACTGAGAATTCTTCTGTCTAGCATTATATGAAGAAATCCCGTTTCCAACGAAGGCCTCAATGAAGTCCAAAAAAGCACTTGCAGGCTTTACAAACAGAGTGTTTCCAAACTGCTCTACGAAAAGAAAGGTTAAACTCTGTGAGTTTAACGCACACATCACAAAGTAGTTGTTGAGAATGATTTTGTCTAGTTTTAATACGAAGATATATCCTTTTCTATCACTGTCTTCGAAGCGTTTGAAATCTGCACTAGCAAATTCCACAGAAAGAGTGTTTCAACTCTGCTCTCTCTCAAGAAAGGTTCAACTCTGTGAGTGGAATACACACAACACAAAGAAGTTACAGAGAATTCTTCTGTCTAGCGTTATATGAAGAAATCCCGTTTCCAACGAAGGCCTCAAAGAGGTCCAAATATCCACTTGCAGACTTTACAAATAGAGTGTTTCCAAACTGCTCTATGAAAAGAAAGCTTAAACTCTGTGAGTTGAAGGCACACATCACAAACTAGTTTCTGCGAATGACTCTGTGTACTTTTAATACGAAGATGTTTCCATGTCTAAAATTGGCGTGAATTCGCTTGAAATCTCCACTTGCAAATTCCACAAAAAGAGTGTTTCAAAACTGCTCTGAATAAAGGAAGGTTCCACTCTGTGAGTTGAATACACACAACACGAAGGATTTACTGAGAATTCTTCTGTCTAGCAGTAAATGAGAAATCCCGCTTCCAACGAAGGCCTCAAAGGGGTCTAACTAATCACTTGCAGACTTTACAGACAGAGTCTTTCCAAACTGCTCTATGAAGAGAAAGGTGAAACTCTGTGAACTGAACGCACAGATGACAAAGCAGTTTCTGAGAATGATTCTGTGTAGTTTTTACACGAAGATATTTCCATTTCAAAGATTAGCCTCAAATCGCTTGAAATCTCCACTTGCAAATTCCACAGAAAGAGTTTTTCAAAACTGCTCTGTGTAAAGGAAGGTTCAACTCTGTGACTTGAATACACACAACACAAAGAAGTGACTGAGAATTCTTCTGTCTAGCATTATATGAAGAAATCCCGTTTCCAACGAAGGCCTCAATGAAGTCCAAAAAAGCACTTGCAGGCTTTACAAACAGCGTGTTTCCAAACTGCTCTATGAAAAGAAAGGTTAAACTTTGTGAGTTGAACGCACACATCACAAAGTAGTTGTTGAGAATGATTTCTGTGTAGTTTTTATACGAAGATATTTCCTTTTCTGCCATAGGCCTAGAAGCGCTTGTAATCTGCACTTGCAAATTCCAAAAACAGAGTGTTTCAAATCTGCTCTCTCTAAAGGAAGGTTCAAATCTGTGAGTTGAATACAAACAACACAAAGAAGTTACTGAGAATTCTTCTGTCTAGCGTTGTATGAAGAAATCCCGTTTCCAACGAAGGCCTCAAAGAGGTCCAAATATCCACTTGCAGACTTTACAAATAGAGTGTTTCCAAACTGCTCTATGAAAAGAAAGGTTAAACTCTGTGAGTTGAAGGCACACATCACAAACTAGTTTCTACGAATGACTCTGTGTACTTTTAATACGAAGATGTTTCCATGTCTAAGATGGGCGTGAATTCGCTTGAAATCTCCACTTGCAAATTCCACAAAAAGAGTGTTTCAAAACTGCTCTGAATAAAGGAAGGTTCCACTCTGTGAGTTGAATACACACAACACAAAGGATTTACTGAGAATTCTTCTGTCTAGCAGTAAATGAAAAAATCCCGCTTCCAACGAAGTCCTCAAAGGGGTCCAAGTAATCACTTGCAGACTTTACAGACAGAGTCTTTCCAAACTGCTCTATGAAAAGAAAGGTGGAACTCTGTGAGCTGAACGCACACATAACAAAGCAGTTTCTGACAATGATTCTGTGTAGTTTTTACACGAAGATATTTCCATTTCAAAGATTAGCCTCAAATCGCTTGAAATCTCCACTTGCAAATTCCACAGAAAAAATTTTTCAAAACTGCTCTGTCTAAAAGAAGGTTCAACTCTGTGACTTGAATACACACAACACAAAGAAGTGACTGAGAATTCTTCTGTCTAGCATTATATGAAGAAATCCCGTTTCCAACGAAGGCCTCAATGAAGTCCAAAAAAGCACTTGCAGGCTTTACAAACAGAGTGTTTCCAAACTGCTCTATGAAAAGAAAGGTTAAACTCTGTGAGTTGAACGCACACATCACAAAGTAGTTGTTGAGAATGATTTCTGTGTAGTTTTTATACGAAGATATTTCCTTTTCTGCCATAGGCCTAGAAGCGCTTGTAATCTGCACTTGCAAATTCCAAAAACAGAGTGTTTCAAATCTGCTCTCTCTAAAGGAAGGTTCAAATCTGTGAGTTGAATACAAACAACACAAAGAAGTTACTGAGAATTCTTCTGTCTAGCATTATAAGAGGAAATCCTGTTTCCAACGAAGGGCTCATAGAGGGACAATTATCCAGCTGCAGACTTACAAAGAGTGTATTTCCAAACTGCTCGATTAAAGAAAGGTTAAACTCTGTGAGTTGAACACACACATCACAAAGTGTTTTCTGAGAATGATTTTGTCTAGTTTTAATACGAAGATATATCCTTTTCTATCACTGTCTTCGAAGCGTTTGAAATCTGCACTAGCAAATTCCACAGAAAGAGTGTTTCAACTCTGCTCTCTCTCAAGAAAGGTTCAACTCTGTGAGTTGAATACACACAACACAAAGAAGTTACTGAGAATTCTTCTGTCTAGCGTTGTATGAAGAAATCCCGTTTCCAACGAAGGCCTCAAAGAGGTCCAAATATCCACTTGCAGACTTTACAAATAGAGTGTTTCCAAACTGCTCTATGAAAAGAAAGGTTAAACTCTGTGAGTTGAAGGCACACATCACAAACTAGTTTCTACGAATGACTCTGTGTACTTTTAATATGAAGATATTTCCATGTCTAAGATTGGCGTCAAATCGCTTGAAATCTCCACTTGCAAATTCCACAAAAAGAGTGTTTCAAAACTGCTCTGAATAAAGGAAGGTTCCACTCTGTGAGTTGAATACACACAACACAAAGGATTTACTGAGAATTCTTCTGTCTAGCAGTAAATGAGAAATCCCGCTTCCAACGAAGGCCGCAAAGGGGTCTAACTAATCACTTGCAGACTTTACAGACAGAGTCTTTCCAAACTGCTCTATGAAGAGAAAGGTGAAACTCTGTGAACTGAACGCACAGATGACAAAGCAGTTTCTGAGAATGATTCTGTGTAGTTTTTACACGAAGATATTTCCATTTCAAAGATTAGCCTCAAATCGCTTGAAATCTCCACTTGCAAACTCCACAGAAAGAATTTTTCAAAACTGCTCTGTCTAAAGGAAGGTTCAACTCTGTGACTTGAATACACACAACACAAAGAAGTGACTGAGAATTCTTCTGTCTAGCATTATATGAAGAAATCCCGTTTCCAACGAAGGCCTCAATGAAGTCGCTAAAAAAGCACTTGCAGGCTTTACAAAACAGAGTGTTTCCAACCTTCTCTATGAAAAGAAAGGTTAAACTTTGTGAGTTGAACGCACACATCACAAAGTAGTTGTTGAGAATGATTCTGTGTAGTTTTTATACGAAGATATTTCCTTTTCTGCCATAGGCCTAGAAGCGCTTGAAATCTGCACTTGCAAATTCCAAAAACAGAGTGTTTCAAATCTGCTCTCTCTAAAGGAAGGTTCAAATCTGTGTGTTGAATACAAACAACACAAAGAAGTTACTGAGAATTCTTCTGTCTAGCATTATATGAGGAAATCCCGTTTCCAACGAAGGGCTCAAAGAGGGCCAAATATCCACCTGCAGACTTACAAAGAGTGTATTTCCAAACTGCTCGATTAAAGAAAGGTTAAACTCTGTGAGTTGAACACACACATCACAAAGAGTTTTCTGAGAATGATTTTGTCTACTTTTAATACGAAGATATATCCTTTTCTATCACTGTCTTCGAAGCGTTTGAAATCTACACTAGCAAATTCCACAAAAAGAGTGTTTCACCTCTGCTCCCTCTAAAGAAAGGTTCAACTCTGTGAGTTGAATACACACAACACAAAGAAGTTACTGAGAATTCTTCTGTCTAGCGTTATATGAAGAAATCCCGTTTCCAACGAAGGCCTCAAAGAGGTCCAAATATCCACTTGCAGACTTTACAAATAGAGTGTTTCCAAACTGCTCTATGAAAAGAAAGGTTAAACTCCGTGAGTTGAAGGCACACATCACAAACTAGTTTCTGCGAATGACTCTGTGTACTTTTAATACGAAGATGTTTCCATGTCTAAGATTGGCGTGAATTCGCTTGAAATCTCCACTTGCAAATTCCACAAAAAGAGTGTTTCAAAACTGCTCTGAATAAAGGAAGGTTCCACTCTGTGAGTTGAATACACACAACACAAAGGATTTACTGAGAATTCTTCTGTCTAGCAGTAAATGAAAAAATCCCGCTTCCAACGAAGTCCTCAAAGGGGTCCAAGTAATCACTTGCAGACTTTACAGACAGAGTCTTTCCAAACTGCTCTATGAAAAGAAAGGTGGAACTCTGTGAGCTGAACGCACACATAACAAAGCAGTTTCTGAGAATGATTCTGTGTAGTTTTTACACGAAGCTATTTCCATTTCAAAGATTAGCCTCAAATCGCTTGAAATCTCCACTTGCAAATTCCACAGAAAGAGTTTTTCAAAACTGCTCTGTGTAAAGGAAGGTTCAACTCTGTGACTTGAATACACACAACACAAAGAAGTGACTGAGAATTCTTCTGTCTAGCATTATATGAGGAAATCCCGTTTCCAACGAAGGGCTCATAGAGGGACAATTATCCACCTGCAGACTTACAAAGAGTGTATTTCCAAACTGCTCGATTACAGAAAGGTTAAACTCTGTGAGTTGAACACACACATCACAAAGTGTTTTCTGAGAATGATTTTGTCTACTTTTAATACGAAGATATATCCTTTTCTATCACTGTCTTCGAAGCGTTTGAAATCTGCACTAGCAAATTCCACAAAAAGAGTGTTTCACCTCTGCTCCCTCTAAAGAAAGGTTCAACTCTGTGAGTTGAATACACACAACACAAAGAAGTTACTGAGAATTCTTCTGTCTAGCGTTATATGAAGAAATCCCGTTTCCAACGAAGGCCTCAAAGAGGTCCAAATATCCACTTGCAGACTTTACAAATAGAGTGTTTCCCAACTGCTCTATGAAAAGAAAGGTTAAACTCTGTGAGTTGAAGGCACACATCACAAACTAGTTTCTACGAATGACTCTGTGTACTTTTAATATGAAGATATTTCCATGTCTAAGATTGGCGTCAAATCGCTTGAAATCTCCACTTGCAAATTCCACAAAAAGAGTGTTTCAAAACTGCTCTGAATAAAGGAAGGTTCCACTCTGTGAGTTGAATAAACGCAACACAAATGATTTACTGAGAATTCTTCTGTCTAGCATTATATGAAGAAATCCCGTTTCCAACGAAGGCCTCAATGAAGTCCAAAAAAGCACTTGCAGGCTTTACAAACAGCGTGTTTCCAAACTGCTCTATGAAAAGAAAGGTTAAACTTTGTGAGTTGAACGCACACATCACAAAGTAGTTGTTGAGAATGATTTTGTCTAGTTTTAATACGAAGATATATCCTTTTCTATCACTGTCTTCGAAGCGTTTGAAATCGGCACAAGCAAATTCCACAAACAGAGTGTTTCAACTCTGCTCTCTCTCAAGAAAGGTTCAACTCTGTGAGTGGAATACACACAACACAAAGAAGTTACTGAGAATTCTTCTGTCTAGCGTTATATGAAGAAATCCCGTTTCCAACGAAGGCCTCAAAGAGGTCCAAATATCCACTTGCAGACTTTACAAATAGAGTGTTTCCAAACTGCTCTATGAAAAGAAAGGTTAAACTCTGTGAGTTGAAGGCACACATCACAAACTAGTTTCTGCGAATGACTCTGTGTACTTTTAATACGAAGATGTTTCCATGTCTAAGATTGGCGTGAATTCGCTTGAAATCTCCACTTGCAAATTCCACAAAAAGAGTGTTTCAAAACTGCTCTGAATAAAGGAAGGTTCCACTCTGTGAGTTGAATACACACAACACAAAGGATTTACTGAGAATTCTTCTGTCTAGCAGTAAATGAAAAAATCCCGCTTCCAACGAAGTCCTCAAAGGGGTCCAAGTAATCACTTGCAGACTTTACAGACAGAGACTTTCCAAACTGCTCTATGAAAAGAAAGGTGGAACTCTGTGAGCTGAACGCACACATAACAAAGCAGTTTCTGAGAATGATTCTGTGTAGTTTTTACACGAAGATATTTCCATTTCAAAGATTAGCCTCAAATCGCTTGAAATCTCCACTTGCAAATTCCACAGAAAGAGTTTTTCAAAACTGCTCTGTGTAAAGGAAGGTTCAACTCTGTGACTTGAATACACACAACACAAAGAAGTGACTGAGAATTCTTCTGTCTAGCATTATATGAAGAAATCCCGTTTCCAACGAAGGCCTCAAAGAAGTCCAAATAAGCACCTGCAGACTTTACAAACAGAGTGTTTCCAAACTGCTCTATGAAAAGAAAGGTTAAACTCTGTGAGTTGAAAGCACACATCACAAAGTAGTTGTTGAGAATGATTCTGTGTAGTTTTTATACGAAGATATTTCCTTTTCTGCCATAGGCCTAGAAGCGCTTGTAATCTGCACTTGCAAATTCCAAAAACAGAGTGTTTCAAATCTGCTCTCTCTAAAGGAAGGTTCAAATCTGTGAGTTGAATACAAACAACACAAAGAAGTTACTGAGAATTCTTCTGTCTAGCGTTATATGAAGAAATCCCGTTTCCAACGAAGGCCTCAAAGAGGTCCAAATATCCACTTGCAGACTTTACAAATAGAGTGTTTCCAAACTGCTCTATGAAAAGAAAGGTTAAACTCCGTGAGTTGAAGGCACACATCACAAACTAGTTTCTGCGAATGACTCTGTGTACTTTTAATACGAAGATGTTTCCATGTCTAAGATTGGCGTGAATTCGCTTGAAATCTCCACTTGCAAATTCCACAAAAAGAGTGTTTCAAAAGTGCTCTGAATAAAGGAAGGTTCCACTCTGTGAGTTGAATACACACAACACAAAGGATTTACTGAGAATTCTTCTGTCTAGCAGTAAATGAAAAAATCCCGCTTCCAACGAAGTCCTCAAAGGGGTCCAAGTAATCACTTGCAGACTTTACAGACAGAGTCTTTCCAAACTGCTCTATGAAAAGAAAGGTGGAACTCTGTGAGCTGAACGCACACATAACAAAGCAGTTTCTGAGAATGATTCTGTGTAGTTTTTACACGAAGATATTTCCATTTCAAAGAATAGCCTCAAATCGCTTGAAATCTCCACTTGCAAACTCCACAGAAAGAATTTTTCAAAACTGCTCTGTCTAAAGGAAAGTTCAACTCTGTGACTTGAATACACACAACACAAAGAAGTTACTGAGAATTCTTCTGTCTAGCATTATATGAAGAAATCCCGTTTCCAACGAAGGCCTCAATGAAGTCCAAAAAAGCACTTGCAGGCTTTACAAACAGAGTGTTTCCAAACTGCTCTATGAAAAGAAAGGTTAAACTCTGTGAGTTGAAGGCACACATCACAAACTAGTTTCTACGAATGACTCTGTGTACTTTTAATATGAAGATATTTCCATGTCTAAGATTGGCGTCAAATCGCTTGAAATCTCCACTTGCAAATTCCACAATAAGTGTTTTTTCAAAACCTCTCTGAATAAAGGAAGGTTCAACTCTGTGAGTTGAATACACACAACACAAAGGATTTACTGAGAATTCTTCTGTCTAGCAGTAAATGAGAAATCCCGCTTCAAACGAAGGCCTCAAAGGGGTCTAAGTAATCACTTGCAGACTTTACAGACAGAGTCTTTCCAAACTGCTCTATGAAGAGAAAGGTGGAACTCTGTGAACTGAATGCACAGATAACAAAGCAGTTTCTGAGAATGATTCTGTGTAGTTTTTACACCGAAGATATTTCCATTTCAAAGATTAGCCTCAAATTGCTTGAAATCTCCACTTGCAAATTCCACAGACAGAATTTTTCAAGACTGCTCTGTCTAAAGGACGGTTCAACTCTGTGACTTGAATACACACAACACAAAGAAGTGACTGAGAATTCTTCTGTCTAGCATTATATGAAGAAATCCCGTTTCCAACGAAGGCCTCAATGAAGTCCAAAAAAGCACTTGCAGGCTTTACAAACAGAGTGTTTCCAAACTGCTCTATGAAAAGAAAGGTTAAACTCTGTGAGTTGAACGCACACATCACAAAGTAGTTGTTGAGAATGATTCTGTGCAGTTTTTATACGAAGATATTTCCTTTTCTGCCATAGGCCTAGAATCGCTTGATATCTGCACTTGCAAATTCCAAAAACAGAGTGTTTCAACTCTGCTCTCTCTAAAGAAAGGTTCAACTCTGTGAGTTGAATACACACAACACAAAGAAGTTACTGAGAATTCTTCTGTCTAGCGTTGTATGAAGAAATCCCGTTTCCAACGAAGGCCTCAAAGAGGTCCAAATATCCACTTGCAGATTTTACAAATAGAGTGTTTCCAAACTGCTCTATGAAAAGAAAGGTTAAACTGTGAGTTTAACGCACACATCACAAAGTAGTTGTTGAGAATGATTCTGTGTAGTTTTTATACGAAGATATTGCCTTTTCTGCCATAGGCCTAGAAGCGCTTGAAATCTGCACTTGCAAATTCCAAAAACAGAGTGTTTCAAATCTGCTCTCTCTAAAGGAAGGTTCAAATCTGTGAGTTGAATACAAACAACACAAAGAAGTTACTGAGAATTCTTCTGTCTAGCGTTGTATGAAGAAATCCCGTTTCCAACGAAGGCCTCAAAGAGGTCCAAATATCCACTTGCAGACTTTACAAATAGAGTGTTTCCAAACTGCTCTATGAAAAGAAAGGTTAAACTCTGTGAGTTGAAGGCACACATCACAAACTAGTTTCTACGAATGACTCTGTGTACTTTTAATATGAAGATATTTCCATGTCTAAGATTGGCGTCAAATCGCTTGAAATCTCCACTTGCAAATTCCACAAAAAGTGTTTTTCAAAACTGCTCTGAATAAAGGAAGGTTCCACTCTGTGAGTTGAATACACACAACACAAAGGATTTACTGAGAATTCTTCTGTCTAGCAGTAAATGAAAAAATCCCGCTTCCAACGAAGTCCTCAAAGGGGTCCAAGTAATCACTTGCAGACTTTACAGACAGAGTCTTTCCAAACTGCTCTATGAAAAGAAAGGTGGAACTCTGTGAGCTGAACGCACACATAACAAAGCAGTTTCTGAGAATGATTCTGTGTAGTTTTTACACGAAGATATTTCCATTTCAAAGATTAGCCTCAAATCGCTTGAAATCTCCACTTGCAAATTCCACAGAAAGAATTTTTCAAAACTGCTCTGTCTAAAGGAAGGTTCAACTCTGTGACTTGAATACACACAACACAAAGAAGTGACTGAGAATTCTTCTGTCTAGCATTATATGAAGAAATCCCGTTTCCAACGAAGGCCTCAAAGAAGTCCAAATAAGCACCTGCAGACTTTACAAACAGAGTGTTTCCAAACTGCTCTATGAAAAGAAACGTTAAACTCTGTGAGTTGAACGCACACATCACAAAGTAGTTGTCGAGAATGATTCTGTGTAGTTTTTATACGAAGATATTTCCTTTTCTGCCATAGGCCTAGAAGCGCTTGTAATCTGCACTTGCAAATTCCAAAAACAGAGTGTTTCAAATCTGCTCTCTCTAAAGGAAGGTTCAAATCTGTGAGTTGAATACAAACAACACAAAGAAGTTACTGAGAATTCTTCTGTCTAGCATTATATGAGGAAATCCCGTTTCCAACGAAGGGCTCATAGAGGGACAATTATCCAGCTGCAGACTTACAAAGAGTGTATTTCCAAACTGCTCGATTAAAGAAAGGTTAAACTCTGTGAGTTGAACACACACATCACAAAGTGTTTTTCTGAGAATGATTCTGTGTACTTTTAATATGAAGATATTTCCATGTCTAAGATTGGCGTCAAATCGCTTGAAATCTCCACTTGCAAATTCCACAAAAAGAGTGTTTCAAAACTGCTCTGAATAAAGGAAGGTTCCACTCTGTGAGTTGAATAAACACAACACAAAGGATTTACTGAGAATTCTTCTGTCTAGCAGTAAATGAAAAAATCCCGCTTCCAACGAAGTCCTCAAAGGGGTCCAAGTAATCACTTGCAGACTTTACAGACAGAGTCTTTCCAAACTGCTCTATGAAAAGAAAGGTGGAACTCTGTGAGCTGAACGCACACATAACAAAGCAGTTTCTGAGAATGATTCTGTGTAGTTTTTACACGAAGCTATTTCCATTTCAAAGATTAGCCTCAAATCGCTTGAAATCTCCACTTGCAAATTCCACAGAAAGAGTTTTTCAAAACTGCTCTGTGTAAAGGATGGTTCAACTCTGTGACTTGAATACACACAACACAAAGAAGTGACTGAGAATTCTTCTGTCTAGCATTATATGAGGAAATCCCGTTTCCAACGAAGGGCTCATAGAGGGACAATTATCCAGCTGCAGACTTACAAAGAGTGTATTTCCAAACTGCTCGATTAAAGAAAGGTTAAACTCTGTGAGTTGAACACACACATCACAAAGTGTTTTCTGAGAATGATTTTGTCTAGTTTAAATACGAAGATATATCCTTTTCTATCACTGTCTTCGAAGCGTTTGAAATCGGCACTAGCAAATTCCACAAACAGAGTGTTTCAACTCTGCTCTCTCTCAAGAAAGGTTCAACTCTGTGAGTGGAATACACACAACACAAAGAAGTTACTGAGAATTCTTCTGTCTAGCGTTATATGAAGAAATCCCGTTTCCAACGAAGGCCTCAAAGAGGTCCAAATATCCACTTGCAGACTTTACAAATAGAGTGTTTCCAAACTGCTCTATGAAAAGAAAGGTTAAACTCCGTGAGTTGAAGGCACACATCACAAACTAGTTTCTGCGAATGACTCTGTGTACTTTTAATACGAAGATGTTTCCATGTCTAAGATTGGCGTGAATTCGCTTGAAATCTCCACTTGCAAATTCCACAAAAAGAGTGTTTCAAAACTGCTCTGAATAAAGGAAGGTTCCACTCTGTGAGTTGAATACACACAACACAAAGGATTTACTGAGAATTCTTCTGTCTAGCAGTAAATGAAAAAATCCCGCTTCCAACGAAGTCCTCAAAGGGGTCCAAGTAATCACTTGCAGACTTTACAGACAGAGTCTTTCCAAACTGCTCTATGAAAAGAAAGGTGGAACTCTGTGAGTTGAACGCACACATAACAAAGCAGTTTCTGAGAATGATTCTGTGTAGTTTTTACACGAAGATATTTCCATTTCAAAGATTAGCCTCAAATCGCTTGAAATCTCCACTTGCAAACTCCACAGAAAGAATTTTTCAAAACTGCTCTGTCTAAAGGAAGGTTCAACTCTGTGACTTGAATACACACAACACAAAGAAGTGACTGAGAATTCTTCTGTCTAGCATTATATGAGGAAATCCCGTTTCCAACGAAGGGCTCATAGAGGGACAATTATCCAGCTGCAGACTTACAAAGAGTGTATTTCCAAACTGCTCGATTAAAGAAAGGTTAAACTCTGTGAGTTGAACACACACATCACAAAGTGTTTTCTGAGAATGATTTTGTCTAGTTTTAATACGAAGATATATCCTTTTCTATCACTGTCTTCGAAGCGTTTGAAATCTGCACTAGCAAATTCCACAAACAGAGTGTTTCAACTCTGCTCTCTCTCAAGAAAGGTTCAACTCTGTGAGTGGAATACACACAACACAAAGAAGTTACTGAGAATTCTTCTGTCTAGCGTTGTATGAAGAAATCCCGTTTCCAACGAAGGCCTCAAAGAGGTCCAAATATCCACTTGCAGACTTTACAAATATAGTGTTTCCAAACTGCTCTATGAAAAGAAAGGTTAAACTCTGTGAGTTGAAGGCACACATCACAAACTAGTTTCTACGAATGACTCTGTGTACTTTTAATACGAAGATGTTTCCATGTCTAAGATTGGCGTGAATTCGCTTGAAATCTCCACTTGCAAATTCCACAAAAAGAGTGTTTCAAAACTGCTCTGAATAAAGGAAGGTTCCACTCTGTGAGTTGAATACACACAACACAAAGGATTTACTGAGAATTCTTCTGTCTAGCAGTAAATGAAAAAATCCCGCTTCCAACGAAGTCCTCAAAGGGGTCCAAGTAATCACTTGCAGACTTTACAGACAGAGTCTTTCCAAACTGCTCTATGAAAAGAAAGGTGGAACTCTGTGAGCTGAACGCACACATAACAAAGCAGTTTCTGAGAATGATTCTGTGTAGTTTTTACACGAAGATATTTCCATTTCAAAGATTAGCCTCAAATCGCTTGAAATCTCCACTTGCAAACTCCACAGAAAGAATTTTTCAAAACTGCTCTGTCTAAAGGAAGGTTCAACTCTGTGACTTGAATACACACAACACAAAGAAGTGACTGAGAATTCTTCTGTCTAGCATTATATGAAGAAATACCCTTTCCAACGAAGGCCTCAATGAAGGCCAAAAAAGCAATTGCAGGCTTTACAAACAGAGTGTTTCCAAACTGCTCTATGAAAAGAAAGGTTAAACTATGTGAGTTGAACGCACACATCACAAAGTAGTTGTTGAGAATGATTCTGTGTAGTTTTTATACGAAGATATTTCCTTTTCTGCCATAGGCCTAGAATCGCTTGAAATCTGCACTTGCAAATTCCAAAAACAGAGTGTTTCAACTCTGCTCTCTCTAAAGAAAGGTTCAACTGCTGTGAGTTGAATACACACAACACAAAGAAGTTACTGAGAATTCTTCTGTCTAGCGTTGTATGAAGAAATCCCTTTTCGAACGAAGGCCTCAAAGAGGTCCAAATATCCACTTGCAGACTTTACAAATAGAGTGTTTCCAAACTACTCTATGAAAAGAAAGGTTAAACTCTGTGAGTTGAAGGCACACATCACAAACTAGTTTCTACGAATGACTCTGTGTACTTTTAATATGAAGATATTTCCATGTCTAAGATTGGCGTCAAATCGCTTGAAATCTCCACTTCCAAATTCCACAAAAAGTGTTTTTCAAAACTGCTCTGAATAAAGGAAGGTTCAACTCTGTGAGTTGAATACACACAACACAAAGGATTTACTGAGAATTCTTCTGTCTAGCAGTAAATGAAAAAATCCCGCTTCCAACGAAGTCCTCAAAGGGGTCCAAGTAATCACTTGCAGACTTTACAGACAGAGTCTTTCCAAACTGCTCTATGAAAAGAAAGGTGGAACTCTGTGAGCTGAACGCACACATAACAAAGCAGTTTCTGAGAATGATTCTGTGTAGTTTTTACACGAAGATATTTCCATTTCAAAGATTAGCCTCAAATCGCTTGAAATCTCCACTTGCAAACTCCACAGAAAGAATTTTTCAAAACTGCTCTGTCTAAAGGAAGGTTCAACTCTGTGACTTGAATACACACAACACAAAGAAGTGACTGAGAATTCTTCTGTCTAGCATTATAAGAGGAAATCCCGTTTCCAACGAAGGGCTCATAGAGGGACAATTATCCAGCTGCAGACTTACAAAGAGTGTATTTCCAAACTGCTCGATTAAAGAAAGGTTAAACTCTGTGAGTTGAACACACACATCACAAAGTGTTTTCTGAGAATGATTTTGTCTAGTTTTAATACGAAGATATATCCTTTTCTATCACTGTCTTCGAAGCGTTTGAAATCTGCACTAGCAAATTCCACAAACAGAGTGTTTCAACTCTGCTCTCTCTCAAGAAAGGTTCAACTCTGTGAGTTGAATACACACAACACAAAGAAGTTACTGAGAATTCTTCTGTCTAGCGTTATATGAAGAAATCCCGTTTCCAACGAAGGCCTCAAAGAGGTCCAAATATCCACTTGCAGACTTTACAAATAGAGTGTTTCCAAACTGCTCTATGAAAAGAAAGGTTAAACTCCGTGAGTTGAAGGCACACATCACAAACTAGTTTCTGCGAATGACTCTGTGTACTTTTAATACGAAGATGTTTCCATGTCTAAGATTGGCGTGAATTCGCTTGAAATCTCCACTTGCAAATTCCACAAAAAGAGTGTTTCAAAAGTGCTCTGAATAAAGGAAGGTTCCACTCTGTGAGTTGAATACACACAACACAAAGGATTTACTGAGAATTCTTCTGTCTAGCAGTAAATGAAAAAATCCCGCTTCCAACGAAGTCCTCAAAGGGGTCCAAGTAATCACTTGCAGACTTTACAGACAGAGTCTTTCCAAACTGCTCTATGAAAAGAAAGGTGGAACTCTGTGAGCTGAACGCACACATAACAAAGCAGTTTCTGACAATGATTCTGTGTAGTTTTTACACGAAGATATTTCCATTTCAAAGATTAGCCTCAAATCGCTTGAAATCTCCACTTGCAAACTCCACAGAAAGAATTTTTCAAAACTGCTCTGTCTAAAGGAAGGTTCAACTCTGTGACTTGAATACACACAACACAAAGAAGTGACTGAGAATTCTTCTGTCTAGCATTACATGAAGAAATCCCGTTTCCAACGAAGGCCTCAAAGAAGTCCAAATAAGCACCTGCAGACTTTACAAACAGAGTGTTTCCAAACTGCTCTATGAAAAGAAAGGTTAAACTCTGTGAGTTGAACGCACACATCACAAAGTAGTTGTTGAGAATGATTCTGTGTAGTTTTTATACGAAGATATTTCCTTTTCTGCCATAGGCCTAGAAGCGCTTGAAATCTGCACTTGCAAATTCCAAAAACAGAGTGTTTCAAATCTGCTCTCTCTAAAGGAAGGTTCAAATCTGTGAGTTGAATACAAACAACACAAAGAAGTTACTGAGAATTCTTCTGTCTAGTGTTGTATGAAGAAATCCCATTTCCAACGAAGGCCTCAAAGAGGTCCAAATATCCACTTGCAGACATTACAAATAGAGTGTTTCCCAACTGCTCTATGAAAAGAAAGGTTAAACTCTGTGAGTTGAAGGCACACATCACAAACTAGTTTCTACGAATGACTCTGTGTACTTTTAATACGAAGATGTTTCCATGTCTAAGATTGGCGTGAATTCGCTTGAAATCTCCACTTGCAAATTCCACAAAAAGAGTGTTTCAAAACTGCTCTGAATAAAGGAAGGTTCCACTCTGTGAGTTGAATACACACAACACAAAGGATTTACTGAGAATTCTTCTGTCTAGCAGTAAATGAAAAAATCCCGCTTCCAACGAAGTCCTCAAAGGGGTCCAAGTAATCACTTGCAGACTTTACAGACAGAGTCTTTCCAAACTGCTCTATGAAAACAAAGGTGGAACTCTGTGAGCTGAACGCACACATAACAAAGCAGTTTCTGACAATGATTCTGTATAGTTTTTACACGAAGATATTTCCATTTCAAAGATTAGCCTCAATTCGCTTGAAATCTCCACTTGCAAATTCCACAGAAAGAATTTTTCAAAACTACTCTGTCTAAAGGAAGGTTCAACTCTGTGACTTGAATACACACAACACAAAGAAGTGACTGAGAATTCTTCTGTCTAGCATTATATGAAGAAATCCCGTTTCCAACGAAGGCCTCAATGAAGTCCAAAAAAGCACTTGCAGGCTTTACAAACAGAGTGTTTCCAAACTGCTCTATGAAAAGAAAGGTTAAACTCTGGGAGTTGAACGCACACATCACAAAGTAGTTGTTGAGAATGATTCTGTGTAGTTTTTATACGAAGATATTTCCTTTTCTGCCATAGGCCTAGAAGCGCTTGAAATCTGCACTTGCAAATTCCAAAAACAGAGTGTTTCAAATCTGCTCTCTCTAAAGGAAGGTTCAAATCTGTGAGTTGAATACAAACAACACAAAGAAGTTACTGAGAATTCTTCTGTCTAGCATTATATGAGGAAATCCCGTTTCCAACGAAGGCCTCAAAGAGGGCCAATTATCCACCTGCAGATTTACAAAGAGTGTATTTCCAAACTGCTCGATTAAAGAAAGGTTAAACTCTGTGAGTTGAACACACACATCACAAAGTGTTTTCTGAGAATGATTTTGTCTAG